>NC_000010.11:53627943-53779458 GCF_000001405.40 Homo sapiens | reverse complement strand
CAGAATGTTTGAGAGGTTTGATAAGTGTGCTTGTTTATGTTTCTCCACTTTAGGAAAGTGTCTTTTCCCCTTAGTGTCTACTAATTCTTCAAAGTGTCATCACTACTGAGAATCTTTCTCTTGTATTTCCTTCTGAGTCTATGAGTCTGTGTATCATTTTATTTTATGATTATTCATTTATGTATTTATCTTCTGCCATCAAGCTGAGAGCTCTTCCAGTGGATGAATTTTGTCATATTCATCTTGCAGGCACAGTGGAATATCAAAATATTTTGCTGAATAAATGACCAAATAAATGATAAGCTCATTACAAAAATTAGAAGAAGAGATATTGTATTCTTCAGATGACATTTCTAGTCATTTCCAGTGAGTGTTAAAAAACAGCTATATAATATTTTGTATGAAGCAAAACAACACAAGTTACTTTATTTCAGTATATGACTTAGTGGTTAATTTTTATTCCATCTACTTGTTTTAAAACATATTTCACTTAGAAGACAGCATTTGTGTAAAACCTCTGGACAAAAAACGTACTAGCCTAATTTGCATTATATATTTATTATTACAAACTTCTCTGTAAACAACAGTATTAAATGTAAAATGGAAATGAAAGTCTGTCCTTCTCCAATATTAAATGCCAGTCAAATGTCACAAGAAAATTACTGAACCCTTATCAAATGACATGAAGTTGAGAGAAACCCAGTTTTCTCTATATACTGTCCTTGTGCCCACTTCTACAGTAACTTATGTTATGCCTTACAATGTTTAAAGGGTTGGACAGACTTTGGCACAGGGAGAAGAGCGAAAGGCTTTTTATTTTCCCCTGAGAAAAAATAATATGAGGTAAAGCTAGAGTGGGTAGTGGGCCTTAACAGTTAGTCAACATTAAACCCATTTACAGGATCTAAGGGGAAAAACATCTTAAATTTTTCAAAACTTTTTTATGCTTGAGGATCTTCACATTTCTCACCATCTAATTCTGAATCTCATTGCATTATCTGTTAATCATTTTAGAACTGCACATTAGTAGATGAAGGTAGAGCTTCCAGTAACACAGTACTTACTTTTAACCAAAGCTAAGTTCCCCCTAATGCCCAATAACAGGATAGGAATTTTGATAAGGGTAACAGGGCATACAGTGTTAAGTGTGAAAACATGCCAGCCTGGGCAAGGAAGTAGGATTTACTGGGTAAAACTAAACAAAAATGCATCAGGAAAAGGAAGGGCAGATGAAGAAGTTCATATAATAGCAAAAACTGATTTTGGTTAATCCGACTATAGGGCCTTAGATATGGTGGTAAATAAGCTGAACAATAAATGTAACATTCAGAGTTTCTCAAGTAACTGTCAGAGAACTAGCTACATTTGAACAATTGATTCCTGCTGAAAACGCACATTTTTGGTTTCCGCCTATTTTTTCCTAGAGTAAAACATCATATAAACATAAATATTATGTTCTTCTCTTATCGGTTACATACAGAATTACTGTATCTCAGGATCTAGTTGAAAAAAATCTCCGAATAATTACATATGAAAACTAAAAAGAAACTTAGGTAAATGTTGAACACTTTTTTTGGTTTCAAATAAGGAAATGACACAGAAGCATTAAAGTGACTTGCCAAGTATTATTTATGTAAAAAATATTAAAATACTTGCCAAGTATTATTTATGTAAAAATTGTTGAAAAATATTACGTAAAAAATGTTTACGAGTCATGATGGAATTATATTCAAATATAAATAAATGTTTTGAGTATTCATCAATAAACCATGCGCTGCGCACTTAGTCTCTGAGAATACAGCATTTAATAAGGTAAAGATCCTGCGCTCGTAGACTATCATAGTTAGCTGCTTATCATTAACAGGAATGGAATCAGACACATATAAATGACAAGGAATGTGGTACAAAGGAAGTATGTGTCGACTTTGTACTAGCTCCTTCTTTCTCGTCAAATCCATTATGATAAATCTGAAATTTGGGCTAGATATGTTTAAGACTATTTATTGGGCCCGAATGGTGTATATCTGCTTTTTCTTGGGATTACCTTATCTTTCCATGAAGTGGGATAAAAATGTAGGCCAGAGACAGGTTTTCTTGGAGCTGCTTTGTCTCAAAAACTATTTCAGATTCTTTACAATATAAGAAGCAATAGAAAAGTCTAGGACTCAATCTACTGTTCAAAAATAAGATGGCCATTCAAAATTGTTAAACAGTTTTAGCCAAAATAAATAAAAATAAAAGAAAATTTATAAGCACAACTAGATAGATGCCAGTTTCTTTTTTAAAACGTTGTGTTATGTTGTTATTATGTTATGTTGTTATATTGTTTTTTATGTTATGTCTATGTTATATGTTATGTTTTATGTTATGTTATGTTAAATTAGGTTTGTTATGTTATTTTTTTCCCTACCAACTTTTATTTTTCAGGTTCAAGAGGTACATGTGCAGGTTTGTTACATGGGTAAATTATGTGTTGCTGGCATTCTGTGTACAAATTATTTTTTCACCCAGGCAGTGAGCATAGAACCTGATAGGTAATTTGATGATCTTCACTTTCTGCCAAGCCTCCCACCTCAAGTGGGCCAGTGTCTATTGTTCCCTTCTGTGTCATATGTACTCCATGTTTAGCTCCCACTTATAAGGGAGAACACATGGTATATGGGTTTCTCTTCCTGAGGCCATTATCCTAAGGGAAGAAGCCAGTTTGTATAGATAAAAATACATTCATTTCATATGGGGGCAAAATTTTATTAGAATTTTTTTAAAGGTAAACAGTTACTTAAAATTCAAAATATTAAATCTTAGTATAGAAGTTTTGTGAAATTGGTTTCAACTTGACAGATGAGAGTTGGAATCATCTGGAACCTCCTTCACAAACATATTTAGTGTCTTAGCTGGGGAGATGCAAAGGCTGGAGTCAGCTGAGACCATAGACCAAATGGTCTGCTCATTGCCTTTCCATTTGTCTTGGGCTTACTCACAGCATGATGGCCTCCTGGTAGTCACACATCTCATTTGGTGTTCCAGTGAACAATATGAACACTGCATATTTTTGTCTTTCTTATTTACGTGTCACCTCAGATGTTACATAGCATCATTTCTACCATATTGTAAAAATATAATCACAAACTCACTCAGATTCAAGGTGAGGGAATCTGTAACCCAACTTTCTTTCAATTTTTTAAAAATTTTTACTTGAATTTTTGCAGCCATTTTTTTTAACCTTTCACCTTCTGACCACAAGTTATTTCTATTCGTTCCACATCCAAATTATGCTCACTCCATCTAAAAACCTCCAAAAGACCTCAGCCCATTATGGCACAAAATTCAATTTTGAGGTCCAGGATCTCTTCATCTAAATCAGGTCCAGGTTTAGTTGAGGTTCCTCAGGCATAGTTCTTGTCCAGTTTCTATCAGTAGATCTGTGAAATAAAGGACCAAATTACATGTCTTCCATGCTCAACATATAATGGTGGGAAGTGGAAATACAGAAGCTGCAGTAGAAGTTTCCATTCAAAAAGAGGGTGAGGTAGGAGGAATCTAGTTATCTTTGGTCCATAGATAATCTAAAATCTAGACAGATAAATATCAGTTTCTGTAATAATAATCCATTCATTTTCCTAAAGAGCATTCTTATTCTCTGGGATTTTGCTCTCTGTTGTTCTTGAGCTGTCCTCTGATTCTACCCTCTCACAATTATCCTCTGTTCCGTAAGTGATAATTTGGTTCTTTTAGCCTACTTCCTGCTCACAAAGGTTTGGGGTCCAGAGGCTCTTTTCATTTTGCACTCTCTGTCTCTTTTATTTCAAGCTTTTGATGTTTCCACTAGCAAAATGATCAACAAGGTCTTTATGGCCGGGCACGGTGGCTCACGCCTGTCATCTCAGCACTTTGGGAGGCCAAGGTGGGCAGATCACGAGGTCAGGAGATCGAGACAATCCTGGCTAACACAGTGAAACCCCGTCTCTACTAAAAAAAAAAAAATTAGCCAGGCATGGTAGCGAGTGCCTGTAGTCCCAGGTACTCGGGAGGCTGAGGCAGGAGAATGGCATGAACTCAGGAGGCAGAACTTGCCGTAAGCCAAGATTGCACCACTGCACTCCAGCCTGGGCTACAGAGCAAGACTCCGTCTAAAAAAAAAAAAAAAAAAGTCTTTATGGGTCTACTATCAATTTTACTGGAGAATCAGTTGATTAAACAAAACTCCCTTGATATAGGGTGCCTCTCTATCTTGGGATCCTAATGAGGCTACTGAAGGAAAATGCCATTAAGATTGTTAGAAGTCCTTACAACTCTAGAGTCACGCCCGTAACATCTCTATAAGGCTTTTTATTTGTTTTCAGGATTCCATTAGGTACATCTTGGATCTCTCTAAGGTCTTAGCAAAAGCCTCATTTTTACCCTAAGACCATATTTCGCTTGTAATACCTTCAAATTTATGTTTGCATGAGTCATTTGCCATCTGGAACAACAGGACATGGAGAATAGTTTTGTTGTTAAAAACACAAATTTCTGGCACCTTTATATTTCCTCTGCATTCTACTTAAAAAATAATTAATTACTTGATTTTCTTCTATTCAGACCTTATGGTCCTTGTAACCTTAATAAAATAAGTTGACACATTCTCCCTGGAATTCTCCTTAGCCAGATCCATCCATTCATTTAGTCACAGTCTCTGTTTTTTATGCAACTGCCTGTAACAGTTGTGATAATCTTTCCAAGACTACGCTGGAAGGGAATCCTTTTGTCCACCCTCCAATAACATTGTTTTTGCACTGTGTTCTCATGGCCATCTTTGTTCAGGCTCACTAGACTTCCTCCAGATGCCTCCACAAAGCTATTCCATCTTCTGACTGTCATGTGGTACCAAGAACAGTGACACATATTATAGGAATTTGTTATGGCAGCAACTCACCACCAGGTATCAGAACCAGTTATTAGATTTTAAATACTAGATTTTAAATACTATTGTTGTGCACAAAATTATTTCATCTGATTTTCAAATGTATTCACAAGAAATTTTCATTATCCTTTTAATTATCATTTTGATGTTTATAGAAACTATAATGTTCTTTCCTATTCCAGAGATTGGTTGTTTCTGCTACATGATTTTTTTTTTCTTTATTGGTCTTTGATACGGTTTGGATTTGTGTCAAATTGTAATCTCATGTCGAATTGTATTCCCCATTTTTGGAGGTGGAGCCTGGTGGGAGGTGGTGATTGGATCATGGAGGTGAATACTTCATGAATGGTTTATCACCATCTCCTTGGTGCTGTTCTCATGATAGTGGGTGAGTTATTGTGCGATCTGATTGTTTAAAAATGTATAGCACCTCCACCACCTCCTCTTTTCCTCCTACTCTGGCCATGTGAAGTGCTGGCTCCCACTTCACCTTCCACCATGATTGTAAATTCCCCAGAGGTGGAGCAGATGCCAGCATCATGCTTCCTGTACAACTTGCAGAACCATGAGCCAATTAAACCTCTTTTCTTTACAAATTGCCCAGTCTCAGGTATTTCTTTATAGCAATGCAAGAATGGCCTAATACAGTCCTACCAGGGGGTTATCAATTTCCCTAGCTTTTTTCAAAAAATCAATTTATGACACTGATTTTTGACCTTTGATCCTACTATATTCATTTCTAACTTATCTTTATTATTTCATCATTTCAATTAGTTTATTTTAATGTGCTGTTGTTGAATAAGTTTTAGAGATGAATGCATATATCATATACCTTTATAACTTTAAAATATGTATGCATTTTAGACCAGGCATGGTGGCTCATGCCTGCAATCCCAGCACTTTGGGAAGCCAAGGTGGGAGGATCACTTGAGGTCAGGGGTTCGAGACCAGCCAGGCCAACATTATGAAGCTCTGTTTTTACCGTAAATGCAAAAATTAGCCGGGCATGGTGGCACATGCCTGGAATCCCAGCTACTTGGGAGGCTGAGGCATGAGAATCACTTAAACTTGGGAGGTGGAGGTTGCAGTGAGCTGAGATCTCAGCACCGTGCTCCAGCCTGGGCGACAGAGAGAGACTCTGTCTCAAAAAGTAAAATAAAATAAAATGTATAAAATATATTTGCATTTAAATGATAAGTTTCTCTCAAATCACGGATGTCTATATAGTTTATAATTTTGTCAATAGTTTCATTATCATTAGCTCAAAATTGAATATAATTTTATTCAAATCTTTTTTTCCATTATCCTCAGGTTATTCAGAATCAAATTGGTTAATCTGAAAAACACATGAGATTTTTCTGTTTTGGTTTGTTTTAGAATTGTTTATGTTAACTTTTTTTCTTAATTCTATGCTGGTCAGAGAACATAGCTTGATTTCCATCACTTAAAATTTTTGAGACATGCATTATGGCCCAGAATATAATCAGTTTGTAAAATGTAGTAGATTCCCCAGAAAATAAGAAATTCTCTGAAGGTATTAAATGAGATGTTCTATATAATAATGACAATTAGAGCATGTTTGTTAATTTTTAATTCAAAACTTCTCTACACTTACTGATTATATGCTTACTTGTTGCATCAGTTACTAGGAGAGATGTTATTTTTCATCATGATTTTTATGTCTTTGAATCCTGTCAATTTCCTGCTTTATATATTGAGACTCCATTATGTACGCATTCATATAAAAAGGTTACATTTTCCTGCTGGATTAATATTTTATGAATATTAAGTGTATCTATATCTAATAATTTTTTGCCTTAAATTATACTTCGATTTCAACATATTTTCATATGCCTTTATCATTTACCAGGAAATTCAATGATTGCAGAATGTCTTAACTCCTTTTCTATTCTCCTAAATTAAATATTGTAGATATCATGGTATATTTATGTATAATCCTGCTACAATTTTTATGTACTTATACACATATTCCCCTGCGTATACTGTGATTGTATGCAGCCAATGTTTGTGTATATCCACTATTATTATTTTATAGAGTGAATTTATGTATTGAGACTGTTAAAAATAAACTTCAGACAAATTAAATTTAGCAGAGTTTATTTTATCAAATAAGGTTTCATGAATTAGACAATACTCAGAACCAAGAAATTTTGAGAGAGTTCCACCCAGCAGCATAAGCAGTGAGCTTTTATAGGACAAACACAGAAGCAAAGTACCAAAATAACTCAATTGGCCACAGCTAGGTGTTTGCCCTTTCGGGGTATGATGTGATCACTTGGCTGCCTGTGATTGGCTGAAGCGTGGCTCTTTGTAATTGGCAAATTCGCTGTTTCAATTGCTTTTAATTTTTTTTTCTGCTGAAGAAATTACGCAAGATCATTTTGTTTCTTCCAGAAAAATACTCCTTAGTATTTATTTAATTTTGTTCTCTTATCGATCATGTGTTTTTGTTTGTTTGTTAACTTCATTATTTGGCCATTATTTTGACAGAAACATCAATAAGTATGTAATTCTTGGTAGCCGTTCTCCCCAGGACCACTTTCCCGTTCGGACATTCGCAAAGTGAGTCAAGAGACTCAGCATGTAACGTACTCATGGCCAAGATTTATTACAGTGATCCAGTAAGGATATGTACCTAGGTTGCAAGGGAAAGACGGAGTCTAGCGGAATCCACGTGCAGACTCCCTTATGCTCTTTAATGCTTCCTTATGCTATGACAGTTAACACAGAGCACACTCTTCCCCTAGCTATAAAAAAGCAGCAAGTGAGTGTTATATTTCTTCCCAGAGAAGCCCCTAAGAGACTCACTCCCCGAAGTTTTTATTAGGCCTGTATGTTACCACCCACTGCCTACCACTTACCTAAATTCCAGGCTCCCAGAAGGTAAGCAAGTGTTTAACATAAACCATATTGCTTTTCTTTAAACAACATAACTAATTATTGTGAGCCGCTTTTTTTCGTGTAACTGTTTACAAGGAACACACTAAAAATGACATGTCTGAAAATGCCAACCAAGGGCCAACCTTACAAGGTCTTTCTAAGCATAGCAATTTCAACCCTGCTATGTTCATCGTTTTCTGCACGGTTGACAATTATTATTTTAATAATTTGAAAATATGATTCCACCTGTCTTCTGCCTTCTCTTGTTTCTGTTTTTAAGTTAGATGTTAGTATTTTTATTCTCCTGTGAAAATAATATATTTTTTATTCCTATTTAAGATTGATCTCTAAGATTGCTTAAAATGTGCTTAGATTTGCTTTTCTCTACATTTATTCTGCTTTGTTGTTTATTAAATGCAGTGCTTCAAATCTATTGCTGGATATCTTTAATCAACTTGGAAAATTTTTCCAGTGTTATCTTTACATGTATATTTGCTCTTTTTCATTTCCGCTCTAGTCTGAGATCCTAATTGTTTGCATGCTTGATCTTTTCGACATATTTCACATATGACAGCCATCATAAAGATAAAGAAACACCATTACCAGCAACTCAGAAGCCCTTTTCAACCTCTGAAATCATTACCAACGTTTCAAAGATAACCACAATTGTGACTTTTACGTCGGTTTGTTTTTTTAAGCTACTCAGATTGCCTTTATGAATATTAACGTCTTTCACCTTTAAATCAATATGTCAAAATAGTGATAATAATAAAAATAATACAATTTATTCCTTCTTTTGAAAAATATGATTTTAAAATGAAAAATTAAGATTTATATAGCAGGCACTGTTACTCTTTCTTCTCACATCCTGCCAGTTCACTTCTATGTTCATCTCCTTCTGGACTATAATCTATACCTATGAATTAAATAATGTAGATAGTATTTATCAGACGATTTTCTTGAATATTTTCTATTAAGCAGTGCCACTAAATTACTTGAAATTTGATTTTCAGTGCGAAACTTATACTAGCTGTACCCTGCTTAAAGTCTCCAATGGCTTTTAACTGGTCTTAGTCTAAATTCCAGAATTCTTGTACCTACAAGATTTGTCTATACTTCCCTCCAAAATAAACCAGCCTCTGCTCCCATGCTTAGCGTTAATCCTCTCTGTTCCCATATCCCACAACAATGAATCAGGCTTATTAAAAGACTCTGCATTCCCTAATCATAGTCTCATACTTCATATGTAGATATTTGAATACTTGGAATGCTCTTTTTTGTGTTCATTTGCCAAAACATGTTCTTCAAATATTATAATTATGTTACAATTATAACCTTTTGAGAAATACCATTAATTTCTACCATAAAATGGAGTGAAATATTTCTGGCATAACCCACTCTCTAAATTTTATGCTTATTTTAGGAAACATCTCTAAAATTAGTAGACACTTCTTAACCAAAAATAACCTTAATTCTTAACTTATTAAAGAAATTGAAGAAATTAAAGGTTAGGAATTGATACTTCATATATACCAAGAAAATGAACTTTTAAGGTGAAAATACCTTGAATAATACCATTCCTCTTTCATCTACCTATTATATAACTTCTGGCAAGTCTCTTCAACTCTCTGAGTTTCAATTTTATCAACTATATAAATAGGAGTAATACGAGTGTCTCCCTTGTGTTGTTTAATTGATTAAATATATCCACACCTCGCATCTATATCACTATCTATATTAATAATAAGTATGATGCCCACATCATATTATTAATAAACACTCAACTTTATTTTTTAAAAGTATTATATTACTAGCGAGACATATTTATATTCATAGAGCAAGGTCTATTTAATCAGTAAGTTCTTATGACACATTATCAAATAAACATATTGTCAAGAACAGTTTTCAAAATGTTTTTAAACCTTTAAATAACTTAATTACTTTAAATTTAGCCTATGAAATTTTTTTATCTAGCCTTCTTTTTCATCATCTGTGTGACCACAAGATTGAAATAACATACTGGAAAAGTCCATTAAATCCTTTTATTGTTCGTCAAGAATCAAAGAGAAACTAGTCCATGATTCTCTGACTCCTACATTAGCCTTTTTTCTGTCTTATAACTAAAATTACATTATGCATAAACAGAAGCTATCTTTTAATGATGTTCCAGGAAAAGAAATTAAAGGTGTGAGAATGGGAAAATTCATTAATGTTTGCACCATACTCTATTACTTTCATTCATTCTTCCCATTTAGCCACAGAGTCTGTGCAAGATCTCATTCATTCCAACGTAATCAAATGCAAAATTTGTCCTTAGATGGAAGGGCCCACCAATATTTGCAATAACATATCAATGTTCTTTTAAGGAAATAGAGGGGGAATTTATGAGAGCCAAGGAAATAAATGAGGCAGTTTGGTTTTAGAAATATGCCTGTTTTCCTTTCTTTCACTATATTTGTACCAAATTATAATAATCATAAAGAATGAATTAAATATATTCAAGTAAAACTGCAAATTCTGTTGATTAAATACACTAATCGTGTAGAGATTTAAGATCGTGTTGAGAATAAATATGTTTAAATCCCATTAGCATCACTAGTATAATGTAATTCTAATTTGTACAAAAAAATGTAAATACTTGATAATTCCAATTCCCACTGCTAACTTCATTAGGTGAAATTTCATTCTGTATAAGATATGTCTCTAAATTTGCATTCCAGAAGTAATAATTCTGCATGTATTCAAGAAATAAATCCCTTTCACAAAAGGTAAATAGCAGGCCTCATGCTGGTAAATTATTGTCTTTAATTTGCTGTGATTCCTCACCATTAAATTAAGAAACTCATGACATTATAGTTCATGTTTAAGTATATGAAGAAAAGCATCACAATCCTTGCTCAAAAACACCACCAGCACAATGATACCAGATTTTTGTTGATGAAGCAAGTTGGCAGCTCATTATGTGAGGATGCACATTTATCACTTTAGGAAACCCTTGAACCTACCTGCATGAGATCAAAAGCTGGGAGAGAGTCAAAGCTGAAGGGAAATTGAAACATAATAAGCATTTCCAAATTAAAATAAAATTAGCCTCTTGAAATATGGGTTTCTTTGGCAGAAAATATTTTGTTAATATATACAGTCATGTGCTACATAATGATGTTTTTGTTAAGGATGGACCAGATGTGATGGTGGTCACATAAGATTCTAATCTCATATTTTTACTGTACCTTCTCCATGTTTAGATGCACAAAAACCACTGTGGTGTGATTACCTACTGTATTCAATACAGTAACATGCTATACAGATTTGTAGCCCAGAAGCAATAGGCTATACCACACAGCCTACTTCTATAGTAGACTATGCCATCTAGGTTTGTGTGAGTATTTCTATGATGTTCACACAATGATGAAATCACATAATGATGCATTTCTTAGAACAGATCCCCATCATTAAGCAGTGCATGACTGTATGGTATGGTTTGGATTTGAGTCCCTACCCAAATCTCATGTTGAATTGTAATCCCCAGTGTTGGAGGATGGTCATGATGGGAAGTGATTAGACCAGGGGGGTCAGGTTTCCCCTTGTTGTTCTTGTGATAGTGAATGAGTTTTCACAAGATCTGGTTGCTTAAAAGTGTGAAGCACCTCCCCCTTCACTCTGTTCCTCCTGCTCTAGTCATATAGGACATGCTGCTTCCCCTTCACGTTGTGCCATGATTCTAAGTTTCCTGAGGCCTCCCCAGCAATGCTTCCTGTACAACGTGCAGAACTGTGAGCCAATGAAACCTCTTTTCTTTATAAATTATGCAGTCTCAGATAAGTCTTTCTAGCAATGTGAGAATGGACTAACACAGCTTACTATACATGTGTATATATGAATATCATATGTTTATATATGAGGCACATGACATACCTCATTCTCTACTTTCTCTTGCTTCTTTGTCTTGGCAAATTTTAAGCAGTTTGCTTTCCTTTCTCTTTTACTATGGACAATTTCTTGATTGTGTTCCAATTTCTAGCATAAACCTCATTTCCTCTGTCAAAAGGTTTTCACTAATTCTATCAGAAATCTCTCTCCCTCTGCATATTCATAGCACTTTTTACTTATTATTGTTCATTTGGTCATCCACTATCAAATATGCTACTAAATATCTACCATGTGTGAGGCATTGGCCAATAGGGGCATAACAATGGATAAGACTTAGTATCTCTAATGAAGCTTACATTCTATTGGAAATATGGCTAAGAAAAATATATATATATATATATATATACAGTTACAATAATAATATTAGATGTATTTTTGGATCATTCATCTCTCTCCTTAGGTTATTAATCTTTTTAATGATAGAGCCTCTATTTTATTGACTGTTGTGTTATCTTTTCCCTAACAGCATCTAGCAAAGTGTCAGATATATAGTTATTGCTCACGTATCATTTGTTGAATTTTATCGACAGTAACATTCTATGTACTTATAAAGTTGCATGTGCTCATATGACAGAATGATATATGCAAATTAGTAAGAGTACTTTTCCACATAGGATGACTGGTATTTCTTTTATTTTTATTTTTTATTTTTTTTCCGAGACGGAGTCTCGCTGGGTCGCCCAGGCTGGAGTGCAGTGGCGCGATCTCGGCTCACTGCAAGCTCCGCCTCCCAGGTTCACGCCATACTCCTGCCTCAGCCTCCCGAGTAGCTGGGACTACAGGCGCGTGCCACAACGCCCAGCTAATTTTCTGTATTTTTAGCAGAGACGGGGTTTCACCGTATTAGCCAGGATTGTCTCGATCTCCTGACCTCGTGATCTGCCTGCCTCAGCCTCCCAAAGTGCTGGGATTACAGGCGCGAGCAACTACGCCCTGCCTGGTATTTCTTATAATTGGGTAACTGTCTAAAGGCCATGATGCAGAGCCTGGGAAGAACCTTCATTCATCCTCAAACTAACCCATTGGACTGATGATAAATGTAAACAATCTTACCAAAAGGATAACAAAAAACTCAAATTTGACATATATAAAGTTGACACATTAACCTTAAATCCTCTTTTTAAGGTCCATATTACTTCTTTTTTCCCTGCCTATGGCTACCTGTTTGTTCCTCTGCTTGTTTTTCCTTTCTTCTGTGGATCATAGATTTTCATTTTCGTTAGCTATTTCTGTTATCTCATCCTTCAGCCTCTGAATGTCAGCCGGCAGCTTCTGTTTTCTTCCTTGGATGTTTCCAGTTCTTGACACTCTTTTGCAGTCAGATCTCTGAGAAGATTTTCATCCCTTCCAGTTAAGAGACTTCAGGCTGAGTTTTAATCAGCTATTATATGTAATATTTCTGCTTGGTTTAAAAGATCTTATTATTGTTTCATACTGCTAATCTTATCTCTTTTAAGGTATTTATTAGGCTAATTTTAAAATCTTATTTTGTCTGTTCTAATATTTCAACTTATGTTATTAAATATAAATATGAATATTTATTTTGAAATAGCTATATGTCTTGTTACTTTGATATGTGAGCTAATTAGGGGTGGCACTACTGTCTGGCAGTTCATACTGAGGGAAGACCCAATTGTCATTCATATTAGACAAAGGGGGTTCAGTGGTAACAAGCAGAGGTCATCAGATGCCTGAGGACCCTAACCATCATTGCTTTTCATCCCCAAAATTTTTTTTAGAGGTTAAAACTTCATCTTTGACCCCTGGGGAGAAGTGTTCTTAGAAACAAATACTGCTTAGTTTGTCTTTAAGAAGTGGCACTAAATGTGGCATTCAAAAATAAAATTAGAAAGAGATTCTGTTCTATTTTCCTAGGTCCTAATCATATAGGGATTCTGCAATGTCCCAATTTTAATCCTAAAGATTAAAAAAAAAATCAACGGAGAGAGAGGATCACAAGCAGAATTCCAAATTTACTGTTTCTCTCTTATCCTTGTATAGACCTGCTGGATATCCATCCTCCTGCTTCAGGCCAAATCTATCATCCTATAAACAACTGCATTTAAAACAACTTGTTATCAATTGAGGGATGCCCCACAATTTCTTCCATATCTTGCATCTTGGTCTTTTCCCTTTATAGCTTCTCTGAGACTGATATCAAGGGAATGATCTAGCAGCCATGATGAGTCACCATCTTGGTAAGAACCAGGAACTTTGAAGGCCCATCTGTGGTTTATGAATACAGTTCTACATAGCTGGCTCGTTAAACACATTAAGAAAACTTTTCTCTCATAGGCCTTTCTTTCTTCAACTTTTTCCCCATGTGTATGATTTTGCAAGAATTGCCATTAAAAAAAAATACTACAGAGTGTGTGGCTTAAGCAAGAGAAATGTATTTTCTCTTACTTCTGGAGGCTAGCAGTCCAAGGGTAAGTGTCAGCAAATCTGCTTTCCACTGAGGCTTCTCTCTGTTGTTTGCAGTGGCCACCTTCATGCTATTCCCTTACATGGACTTTTCTCTGTGCACAAGCATTCCTAGTGTCTCTTATTTGTCCAAATTTATTTTTTTTTTTTTTGAGATAGGGTGTCACTTTGTTGCCCAGGCTGGAGTACAGTACCATGATCATGGCTCTTGCAGTCTCGACCTCTCCAGGCTGAGGTAATTTCCCACCTCAGCCCCCCAAGTAGCTGGAACTACAGGCACATGCCACCATGCCTGGCTAATCTTTGTATTTTTTGTAGAGACAAGGTTCTTCCATGTTGTCCAGACTGGTCTTGAACTCCTGAGCTCAGGTAATCCATCCACCTCGGCCTCCCAAAGTGCTAAGATTACAGGTGTGAGCCACCACGCCTAGCCCCAAATGTATTCCTCTTATAAGGATGCTAGCAAACTGAACTAGGGCCCATCCTACTGGCTTCATTTTAACTTAATTACATCCTTAAAGGCTCTATCTCCAAATACAGTCATAGTCATCACTTTATATATAATGCTTATATATGCATGAGGATAGATTTTATAGTTAAGCCAGTTAGACCTAAAACCATAAAAACCCTAGAAGAAAACCTAGGCGTTACCATTCAGGATGCAGGCATGGGCAAGGACTTCATGTCTAAAACACCAAAAGCAATGGCAACAAAAGCCAAAGTTGACAAATGGGATCTAATTAAACTCAAGAGCTTCTGCACAGCAAAAGAAACTACCATCAGAGTGAACAGGCAACCTACAAAATGGGAGAAAATTTTCGCAACCTACTCATCTGACAAAGGGCTAATATCCAGAATCTACAATGAACTCAAACAAATTTACAAGGAAAAAAAAAAAAAAAAAAAAACCCCATCAAAAAGTGGGCAAAGGATATGAACAGACACTTCTCAAAAGAAGACATTTATGCAGCCAACAGACACATGAAAAAATGCTCATCATCACTGGCCATCAGAGAAATGCAAATCAAAACCACAATGAGATACCATCTCACACCAGTTAGAATGGCGATCATTAAAAAGTCAGGAAACAACAGGTGCTGGAGAGGATGTGGAGAAATAGGAACACTTTTACACTGTTGGTGGGACTGTAAACTAGTTCAAACATTGTGGAAGTCAGTGTGGTGATTCCTCAGGGATCTAGAACTAGAAATACCATTTGACCCAGCCATCCCATTACTGGGTATATACCCAAAGGATTATAAATCATGCTGCTATAAAGACACATGCACACGTATGTTTATTGTGGCACTATTCACAATAGCAAAGACTTGGAACCAACCCAAATGTCCAACGATAGACTGGATTAAGAAAATGTGGCACATATACACCATGGAATACTATGCAGCCATAAAAAATGATGAGTTCATGTTCTTTGTAGGGACCTGGATGAAACTGGAAACCATCATTCTCAGCAAAGTATCGCAAGGACAAAAAACCAAACACCGCATGTTCTCACTCATAGGTGGGAACTGAACAATGAGAACACATGGACACAGGAAGGGGAACATCACACTCCAGGGACCGTTGTGGGGTGGGGGGAGGGGGGAGGGATAGCATTAGGAGATATACCTAATGTTAAATGACGAGATAATGGGTACAGCACACCAACATGGCACATGTATACATATGTAACAAACCTGCACATTGTGCACCTGTACCCTAAAACTTAAAGTATAATAATAATACAATAAAAAAAAGAAAATTAGAAATTAAATCAAAATTGAAATGATCAAATCAACCAAAGTTGAAACAGGAATTAAGTATCTCAGCAATTATGTACAAAGAAAGGAGAGAATCTGTTGTAGAATTAGAGTTGTTTTTTCTGAGCATGTTCTCCCTTGCTTTGTCTTTTTCTTTCTTGTCTTTTGTTTACTCTGCTTCTGATCTGCCCAGGAAAATTTTGTAAGAAACTTTGTGAGAATTCTGTGTTCAGTATGAATATTTTCTTATGTTCATTCGAGCCTGTAGTTTGCAGTCATAGGCAGCTGAATTATTTATGTTTAATTTCACAATTAGCACACTTGATTTTTTTATTTTTACTCTTTTTTACCTAGTGCATTTGTGATCCCAAAAGGAAATTATTTATAAAATTAAGTTGGCTCATAACTGAACACTTTATAGCTCTGATAGTTTTTAGTTGGTAAATACTACTTTCACCGATAATCTTTTATGAATATAAGCCTCAAAGTATTTCCTAAATCTCAAAATAAATCAGTGCTTATACCCGCCTGATTTCATTGTACAGCTTGTGTTAGTCCATTTCTGTATTGCTCTAAAGGAATTCCTGAGACTGGGTAATTTACAATGAAAAGAAGTTTAATAGGCTTATGGTCCTGCAGGCTATACAGGAAGTGTGGTGCTGGTATCTGTTTCTGGTGAAGGCCTCAGGAAGCTTCCAATCACCGCTGAAGGAGAAGGGGGAGCCAGCATATCACATGGCGAGAGCAGGAGCAAGAGAGACAGCGGGGAGATGCTACACACTTTTAAAGAGCCAGTTTCACATCAACTCAGAGCAAAAAACTCACTCATCAATAAGGGGATGTTGCTAAGCCATTCATTAGGGATCCACCCGCAATGATCCAAACACTTCCCACTGGGCCCCACTTCCAACACTGGAGATTACATTTCAACATGATATTTCCAGGGGACAAATACCTATGCCCTATCACAGCTTTATAAGTAAGTGGTTGCGTGCAGGTAGACAACGACTGCCACCAAGACCTTGCCATGAGCATTTACATTGTTAGATAGTTGAAAGATCTCCTAGGAACATCATGAGTAAAGTGAACCCAGCCACCCAGTCAACTGACCAAAAGTGAAGCCTTTAATTAATTTCTTTAATTAAGAAATTACTTAATTAAAAGTAAAGAAAGATTACTTTCTTTAAAAGTAAAGAAAGATTACTTTCTTTAAAAGTAAAGAAAGATTACTTTCTTTAAAAGTAAAGAAAGATTACTTTCTTTAAAAGTAAAGAAAGATTACTTTCTTTAAAAGTAAAGAAAGATTACTTTCTTTAAAAGTAAAGAAAGATTACTTTCTTTAAAAGTAAAGAAAGATTACTTTCTTTAAAAGTAAAGAAAGATTACTTTCTTTAAAAGTAAAGAAAGATTACTTTCTTTAAAAGTAAAGAAAGATTACTTTCTTTAAAAGTAAAGAAAGATTACTTTCTTTAAAAGTAAAGAAAGATTACTTTCTTTAAAAGTAAAGAAAGATTACTTTCTTTAAAAGTAAAGAAAGATTACTTTCTTTAAAAGTAAAGAAAGATTACTTTCTTTAAAAGTAAAGAAAGATTACTTTCTTTAAAAGTAAAGAAAGATTACTTTCTTTAAAAGTAAAGAAAGATTACTTTCTTTAATTAAGAAAAGTATTAAGTACTTTTCTTAATTTACTTCACTTATAATCACTTATTTCATCAAATAATCTAATGGATCATAGTAATATATTTTCTTAAGGGTATTAGGGTGTTCTGGGGGAGCCCAAAATAAGACATCTAAATTTATTTGTGATAAATAGAAAATGTTGTGTTTTTTTTTATTGAGGAGAGGGTTGAAAAGTAGGAAGGATTGTTCTTGTTTCCATGTACATCTGAAAAATATGGAATGCAGTTGCTATGGGGCAGTCTAAATCTGCTTTACTTGGCTCATTGAATTGGTACTGAACCCAGAGAAAAAGGTTAAATCAGAAACTGAAGAGCCCATTACTTGAAAGACCTCATAGAATTCAAATACAAGCAACATTGATTCAGTGACCAGCTGACAAAGCAGGGCACAGACTTAGGGACAAGGCCATCTCACCATAGTTCTGGCCTCTTCAGGGACAACTATAGGCATTGGGGATATCAGCAGGCAACATCAACACCAACATCAATGACATGAATTTGGGTACCCAAACCTAGAACCCTATCAGCAATATCAGTTGTAGCAAAATTCTTTGAAACAGTGCTGCCTATAAGAATTTTACAAGAAGGAGGTTTCTATGGTTTGGATATTTATCCCCTCTAAACTTCATGTCGAAATTTGATCTGCAAGGTTGGAGTTCAGGCATAATAAGAGGTATTTGGATCATGAAAGTCAATCCCTCACGCACAGATTAATGCCCTAGTGTGAATGCATTCTCACTTTATTGGTTCCTGCAAGAGCTGATTGTTGAAAAAAATTCTGGCACCTTCCCCACCCCAACCTGCTTCCTCTTTCACCATGTAACCTGTACAACCAGCTTCTCTTTGCCTTCAGCCAAAAGTGGAAGCAGGCTGAGGTCGTCACCAGATTCAGAGGCCCAATCTTTTTAGGCACTAGAATTGTGAGTCAAATAAGCCTTCTTTCTTTATAAATTACCCAAGCCTTGGATATTTTATAGCAATGCAAAATGGATTAAGACAGAGGTAAGACTGGAGGGAAAAGCAAAAGCAAGAGATATTGTATACTAATGAAATACTGAGCTTATACAAGGTGTGCTTTGGGGACTCTACACAACAGTTGAAACCTTTGGTTGGAAAGGATCATGATGAAGGGTTGTAGGTTTCTGAAACCTCATTTTATATATAGGCTTATGATGCTGAAGATCTTGTGGATAAATCTTTTTTTTTTGATAACTATTAACGGCACAAAAGCTGTTGAAAAGTGAAAGGTGGAAGCCTTTACAACATTTAGCAAAGATAGAATGCAAGCTGAGTCAGGCTGACTTCAGCAGTAAAGGAGTTTACTGAAAACACTGAGTAGTTCACTGGATTATTGAGAGAGCTGACTATCCATACGTAATAAAGGAATACTTCTCCACATCACGATATAGAAGTGTTACATGTAGGTTATGTGTAGCTGCCAATAGAATAAAAGAATTAACTGTTTTATTTAATTTCCAAGTGTCTGGTCTCAAATTTTAATTACTGATTACTGTGGTTTGAACGTCCCCTGCAAAACTCGAGGTGAAATTGAATTGCCATTGTAACTGTTGGAAGGTGAGACTTTTAAGAGGTGATTAGGTGATGAGGGTTCTGCCTTCATAAATAGATTAATGCCGTTAGTGAGAAAGTTGGTTAGTTATCAGGGAGTAGGTTCCTGATGAAAAGGATGAGTTCAGCACAATTTTCTCTCTCTCTCCCTACCTCTCTCTCCCCTCCGTGTGGTGCCTTCTGCCATATTATAACACTGGGAGAAGGTACTCACAAGAACTGGTCCCACAATCTTGGATTTTCCAGTCTTAAAACCATGAGCCAAATAAACTTCTATTGTTTATTAATTACCCACTCTGTAGTACTCTGTTATAGCAGCAGAAAATAGACTAAGACACTGAGACTTATTCATACCTACTGGTTGTTATTAATACCTACTATTTGTTAGGGTGGATCTGATTTTCCCTTTCTTCTTATAATGCCCTTGCTCTCCCCCAACACCCACCAAAAAGACCCAACCAAACTATTATTTCTATAAATTTTTGAATATATCCTCCTCATAGAAAAAAAACTTTGCTGTAATTTCATTAACATACCATTGAGGAAAAACATGATCTTTGTATTCTTAAAACTTCCACTATTTTAATTTGCCATATTTTTCTATTTATGGAGGTTATTTTTTCACACATTTATAGCATTTAAAAACTTTCTTTATAAATATACTTAAATATTTGATTAAGTTGATTCCTAGGTATTTTATAGTTTTTGTTGCTGTTGTAAATTGCAAGTCTTTTTTATTACATTATATAAATCATTCTTAATGTTGTGGCAAAATGTCCCTGACTTATTGATTTTGTATTCTGCAATGTTGTTACAATTTTCTAATAGTTTTAAAAGGTTTTTGGTCGCTTGGACTTTATATAGGTCTCTATGTTTTCTGGAAATGACCATAGAATTATATCCTCCTTTCCAAATGGTTAACTTTTTTCCTTTTTCTTATTGTTTTTAACATATTTTACATAACATATTGAGCAAAGGCATAGATAATGGAAGTCCTTGTCTTGTTCTTTCTCTTTAAACTATGTTTAAAACTTTTTCCCATTGAAAATAATGTTTGCCATAGATTTTTTTAGCTAGTCTTTACATTATAAATGTTTTTAATTCTTCATTTTCTAAAAGTTCTGTAAAAAGTAAATATAAAACTTTAGGCAGTATCTTTGTTAATTTAATACAGATTTCAATATAAGTATGGAACTTGAAGCAGTACTTTTCTTAATTTACTTCACTTTTAATTACTTATTTCATCAAATAATCTAATGGATCATAGTAATATATTTTCTTTAAAAATTACTTTGTTGGATATTATTTACCTATAAAAATCCATACATATTTAATATATACAACTTGATGAATTTGAAGATAATTGTATACCTATAAAACCATTACCAGAATCTATATCATAAACGTATGCATTCCCTCTCCTGTCCTCCTTAATCATTATTATTTTGTTTGTATTAATATCATCTAGCAAAAGACCTACACTTTTGGCAATTGTTTAAGTATACAATACAATATGGTTTACTATAGACAATAGGCAGTAGATCAATAAAATGTATTCCTTTTGTGTAATTGAAACATTATACCCTTTGACTAATACCTCTCCATTTCCCTCTCACTCCAGCCTATGGCAAACACCATTCCCCTCTCTGCTTCTATGAGTGTGACTATTTTAAAATATTTGTATAAGTTGTATCATATAGTATTTGTCCTTCTGTGTCTGGCTTATATCACTTAGCATAATGTCCTCTAGGTTCATCCATCTTGTGACAAATGGAAGAATTTCCATCTTTTTAAATGTGGAGTAAAATTTCATTGTATGTATTATTTAAAAAAAACAGACAGATTAAACTTAATACAGTTTCTTAGAGCAAAGAATAATTCACGAACCATGCAGCACTAAGAACCAGAGGAGTTTCAGAGAGTTCCACCCAGCTGCATGAGCAAAAAGCTTTTATAGGCTGAACATGGAAGAAATGTGGAGAAATCACCTGTTTGTCTACATTTAGACATTGGGTTTTGGGGCATGGTCTGATCGGTTGGCTGTCTGCAATTGGCTGAAACTCAAGTGTTTGTTATAGTCCTAATTATATTTTCGATTGTTTACTTCGTAAGTTAGGTTGCTGTTGGTTATATAGGAACTCAAAGTAATGAGATAGCCTGAGGCCAATGGCCTCCTGCTTAGTTAATGGTATATATATAACATTTGATTTATAAATTCAGCCATCAGTGAGCATTTTGATTGCTTCCATGTCTTGGCTATGGAGAATAGTGATGCAATGACATGGTAATCCATATATTTATTTAAGATCCTGATTTTAATTACTTTAGATATATAACCAGAAATGAAATTGCTAGCACAAATGGTAGATATATTTTTAATTTTTTTGGGAAACCTCTATACTGTTTTCCATAGCAGCTGCACCAGTTTACCTTTTCAGCAGTGGTATTTCTACATTCTCACCAACATTTGTTATTTTTTGTTTTTATGATAATAACTATCCTAACAAGTGTGAGGTGATATCTAGTTATAGATTTACATTCTATGATGATTAGTGGTACTGAACACCTTTTCCTGTACCTGTTGGCCATTTCTATATATTCCTTGGAGAAATGTATATTTAGGGATTTTATTATTCACTCTTCAATTGGGTTACATGATTTTTTGTTGTTTTTGTTTGTTTTGCTATTGAGCTGTAGGAGATCCTTAAATATTGTGGTTATGGACTCTTTATCAGATCTATGGTTTACAAATATTTTCTCCCATTCTGTATATTACCTTTTCACTTTTTTTATTGTTTCTTTTGCCATTCATAAGCTTTTTAGTTTTGATGTAATTCCAGTTGTCTACTTTTGGGTATTTTGCCTGTAGCTTTGATGTTATATCCAAGAAATAATTGCCATGGCCAATGTTAAAAAACTTTTTTTTTCTATATTTTCTTCTATGAGTTTCATTATTTCAAATCATTTAAGTCTTTAATCCATTTTCAGTTTATTTTTCTGTATGATGTAAGAAAAGTGTTTAATTTCATTCTTTTGCATGTGGATGTTCAGTTTTTCCAACGCTGTTTATTCAACACAGAATCCTTTCCCAATTGCGTATTCTTGACACGCTTGTGGGAGATTAGTTGATAATATATGCATGGGTTTATTTTTGAGCCCATTATTCTGTTCTTTGTGTCTGTTTTAACGCCAGTAACATAGTGTTTTGATTATTGTAGCTTTGTACTGGGCAAAGGGATGATTCAGATCCTGATTTAGATCCCCAAGTGGGATGAGGAGGGATGGAGCAGGACAAGGAAATATTTTACCGTGCTACTCAAAATGGTGCACAATTTAAAACTTATGAACAATTTATTTGTGAAATTTATCATGTAATATTTTCATACCATATTTAATCACAGGTAACTGAAAGCACAGTATGCAAAACCAAAGACAAAGGGAGGAATACTGTAATTTTAATCTGTGACAGGGATGAAAATCCCTTCAATCAATGCAACAGGTATTGTAGGAGAGAGTGCCTGTGCTCCAAAATGTGATAGAAAATTTAGGGTCCTTTTCCCAGTGTTGTATGCTTGAAATTTACAAACCAAACTTAAATTTATTTATTGTAGTACAAAAGAAGGCCAAAAAAGACTTTATGTCATTCAGCAGTGTCTCTTCCATTTGAGGCAAATATTTGGCTTTATTGTAATCTGGCAAAGTTTCATTCATTTCTGTGTCAGATATGAACAAATGTAATCATCAACATGGGTTCTGCAGTACAGAAATTTCTTATCCTTTTACAGTAACATGAAGATTTAAGTGAAGAAAGTGAACCTGTAAATTAGTCAATGTGCATCAGATAAGAGGACTAGATTGCTTATATGCAAATATCAAAACAATTGGGTCACTGAAAAGAAGCATTAGAAGCTGCATTTTAAGAAACAGAAGCTGAAAATAGTGCTCTTGCTTCTAATTATAGCAACTCTACTTCTCCCCTATATTGACATCTTGGAAGCAATTTGTTCTAATTATTTTGTCCACAGATATCTAAGGAAGATTTAAAAAAAAAATTATCAAGCAACAAACCTCAGTTTAAATTAGGGATTTTTACTGTTATGTGCTGTTTCACTATAATGAGTCTCCCTTTTTATCAGAGAAATATTCAATGTAAGAACTCTCTAGTTCTGTGGATTTAGGTACAATGTTAATATCTGTGTCAGAAAATGTTAAAGAAATAGATATAAGATGAATGACTGAAGGTTTTCAGCATCTGTGATTTTATTGAACCAAAAATTTTCAAAGGTAATGATTTTCAAACTTTTATAATGGATCCAAACTATGTTCAATAATTTTCTGGCAAACTAAGATAATCTCAGATGACTCCATAAGTTTTGAAAATGTCAAAGTAATGAGAATTTAAATAAGGTGGCCCAGCTATGTGAAATTAAATTATATAACAGTTGTAAGTTTAAGACAGCTCCGAAATGCTATCAAGTAGCTTTATGAATTATAGAAGATGAAGGAGGACAAAATAATACAAACGAGTTGAAAGTGATTATTTATCTTACTGTCTTTGTTAGATACAGACAGCATCTGCTGGTTATAATATTTAATGAGTAAAGATGAGCTGTCATAATCCCTGCTTCTATCTTTATCTATCTCATTATAAAGTTATCTATCTCATTATAAATCTAAACTCCAGTTGTTCTATTGTGGAATTCAGGGTGAGCAAATCAGTCTTGTATGTGTTCATTGAAGCTCAGGGTAGGAGTTTTAGTACATAGATTAAGTGATGTTACAAGGAAAACAGTAACAAGAAAAAGGTTCTTATCACTTCTACAATATGTGTTCGCACATTTTTGGATGCCAAAATGATTTGGGAGGCAATGATATTTTGGAATATTTTTATTAAAATGTACTTTAACATATGTAACTGAGAGTTCAAAATTGTCCTATCCTTTAAAAAGAAAATCTAAGTATACCATAAACATGGCATAGAAAAAAAGAGTATAAACCTTCCATTCAAAGAAATTTTTTTTCTTTTCTTTCTATCTCTCTCTGTTTTGTATTCACTCTTGTTAACTATAATTTAACAAATATTTTGGGGGCATACCCTGTGTGCCAAGTTCTATGTGAGGCACTGGCCCTTCAATGCAGTAGCTAAGCATCAGTGAACAGCTACATAAATTCACTACACTTCAGTCTCCTCAATTTTTTTTTTTTTTTTTTTTTTTTTAGACGGAGTCTTGCTCTGTCACACAGGCTGGAGTGCAGCTGCGCGATCTCAGCTCACTGCAAGCTCCTCCTCCCAGGTTCATGCCATTCTCCTCCCTCAGCCTCCCGAGTAGCTCAGTCTCCTTAAATTTTTAATTGAAATCATATCATCAGCTTAATTAAATTTTGCAAAGACCAAGTGAGATGAAGTAGATGTAACAGAGTAGCCACTAAATGAATTACTAGCCATTACTCTTTCAGCTTAATAATTTTAACTCAAAAGTATTTCACTGTATTCCCTCCACAGTACTTGCTTCGAGGAACTGTTATTTTGCTTCCTCTCTTGATAGGCAAACTTTTCGAAAGCAGCTTTGGCTCCCAATGTCTAATTTTTCACATTGTAGTTTCTTACTGTGTTTAATCAGTGTTTTCTTTAAAAAAAAAAAAAGAAATGAAGAATAAACAAAATGGTTTACTTTATAGATAGCAAGTTTCTACCAAATGAAGATGTAGTTATAACACGCAAACTCAATGAGTTTTGTTGAATGAAGTATCCTCTATCATATTTCAGTAAAAATAGGCATGCCTAGAAATGAATTATTTAGAAAAGATGTTTGGGGACTGAAAAAGTAATAACTAATAAGAATTGTTCAGACCACCTTTGTAGAAATTTAAAAATAAGATTTATGTAATTTTGCTGACAGCTTTGCAAGACTGAAACTTCAGCAATCAAAAGCTAGTGTGCCTGAGAATTTCTAATATTCTAATCTAGTTAGAATTTGCCTTCAAAATACATTTTCCACTATAAAACGAAATAATTTCTCTGTAATCAATATTAGATTTAAAGGTTTTAGGTCATCCTTTTTGAGTGAAAATGTGCTTGTATTTTTTAATGCAGAAGATAGTTGGGTTTTCCTCCTTTTCCCTCTCTTTTTTTTTTTGTTTTTTTTTTGCCAATTTCAAGCTTGATGTTCTGCAACCCATGATTAAAGAACTTCTGATTCTCTTCCTGGTAATCTATATATTTGCCTCAAGTTCTGGACTTCTTGAAAATCCACAGGATCATTTCATGGGAAAAGATGTGAACAGGTAGTTAGCATTAAGATTATTGTACTATTTTCACATAGGAGTTACTGTGAAATTTGGTGGTGATTGACCAATTGCAATTGAATGTAAATTATAAGATATTTACAAATATAAAGAAAATAGAACACCAAATTAAATAGCAGATCCCATAAAAAGCTCTCACTTGTTAGATGTAAATACCTTCATGAAAGCTTAAGATAACATTTGTTGATGAATAAAATGTGTATAATTTTATTCTCTAAAGAAAACATTTAAATTAGTGATTAGAGGTCATTGTCTTATAAAAATTAGTAATCATTTATCAGAAAAAATGTATAAATTATATAGAAAGAGAAAACATACAACACAGGATGATAAAAATGAAAAATTATATATTTTAAGTCAATAAAAAATTACATTGGCAATCAATTTTCAAAACCCTAATAAAGTTAAGCCAAAATTAATTAGGATATTCTGTTATTAATTTCTGCTTTCAAAATCAGTATTTTGTGTTAATTACTCATATGGTTTGGCTGTGTCCCCACCCAAATCTCATCTTGAATTGTAGGCTCCCATAATTCTCACGTGTCATGGGAGGGACACAGTGGGAGGTAATAGAATCATGGGGGTGGGTCTTTCCCATGCTGTTCTTATGATAGTGAACACATCTCATGAGATCTGATGGTTTTATAAAGGAGCAAAGCAAAGCATGACTTTGCTCTTCCTTTGCCTTTGCCATGATTTTGAGGCCTCCCCAGCCATGTGAAACTGTGAGTCAATTAAATCTCTTTCCTTTATATATTATCCAGTTTCAGGTATGTCTTTATTAGCAGCATGAGAAAAGACTAATACCACTATGGTAGAAAAAATATTGTTGAAAATTAAAAATTTAAATTACACTAAAATTTTGAAGTGAATTAAAATATACTCTGACAGACATCTTTACTACACACCACTACAAATATTATTTTTTGAATTTATGTATGCACAGACTGATTCCTGACATCTTTGAGATGTTTAGTTAGTATATGAGAACACTGAGTTAACTCATTGATATGATACCTGCACATTTCTTTGTTTAGCACAATACTTTTCCCAGGATAATGTGTTTCTTTTTTATTTTCTAGATCTATTTGTAATCAATGAATCAGCCTTATACATTTAATTCAATTGCATGAAAGTTTTCATTTAAAAGACACATTTAGTTTATGGGACAGTAATTGTTAGTATCTTTATGGTTAGATCTCATCGTAAAATACTACATAATGTGTTTATCTGTGGTATACATAAGCCTATTCTTTTAAAAGCTAACAATTGACTTCATTAGTTTTTAATTTTTGTGCTTATAGAATGATGTTATTCTGTGAGTTGAATTGATGTGTTCCACTACTAACACTAATTAAAGGATTATTTATTGAATTTAAAAAGTAATTAAATATATAAATATATGTTTACAATAAATGAGTTTTTTCTCCTCTACTTTTAAAAATGCATTATTACTACTGGTCATCCTGATTAGAAACTATTATAAGCAGAAATCTAATTTAGATCAAATATTTAATTTATTTTAATAGTAAAATTGTTATTTAAATAAATAAGATTTTAAGTTATTTTGTTTTAAATTTAATTTTAGTTTAGTTTTAGTGTACTTGGCAATGTTTCACAAAGAAAAAAAAGTCTTGACTTCCATAGCTTTTTCATCTGATTAATAATAATAGTCATAATTGCTGAGTGGAATGTATTTGTTTTGAATTTCAAGAAAAAAATAGTACCAAGACTAAGGAAATATTGCAAGTGAAACTAGAATGCAGGGGAATGTGTACAGATCCACAGGAACTTATAGATCACAGCAATATCAGCAGGGAGGACCTAAAGAATATTTACATTTTTGCGACCACAAAAATGAAGAGCAGCAAGATTACAGTTGGAGGCTGAACAAAATAAGCACAGCACACAACTGAGATTAAAGTCCTCATACATCCTCCAATCTTTTGGCAATGAGATTCCCATTTTATGTTAAATTTTGAAGGGGAAAAATCCTCCAAATTTGATAAAGAGTAACTAACTCTGTAATTATACATAGTTCACTGAGGCCAAGACCAGAGGAAAATAGGAGAAAAATTAATAAAATGTTTGTGCCATCAAAAATTGAGTAAGTTCAAGGAAGAATATGAGTTATATGAGTCTAACTGAGACATAATGTTGAGAGAGCTTCTGAATTCTGCTTGTTTCTCCCACTGTTTCATTTCAAATCAATGTTGGGAAATCATAAAGCTGCATATCTACATTGCTTTGCCTATTCTACCTTTTAGCATCACAGCCTGAAAACACATCTTGGAAGAGATGAGAGCTCTGCCTCCTAATTCCTTACAAAGGTTAGCCTCAGTTAACATCCACCACAGTGCTACTTAGATTACTCTCCTTCTATTAAAGAAGTAAGAAAGAACACAAACAAAATAAAATTAAAGGTACTTTATTATTGCAGGTCCACAAAATCTTATAATTAATTTAAGGCTGAGTCTGGGAACTAAATACATTAATAATTCTGCAGAAAGTGTATACATATTCACAGAATATATATGTGTATATATATAGTGTGTATATATATAGTGTATCTATATATATAGTGTGTATATATATATATATACAGTGTATGTATATATATATACAGTGTGTGTATATATATACAGTGTGTGTATATATATACACACACACATTCTGAACAGAACGTTTTATCAGAGAACTCTTACGTGACCACCCTATCTAAATTATTTATACATATATGTAAAATAGCATTACATCACTACATTTCATGTGAGATTTTGACACCAAATATACCTTTCCAAATCTTAAGTTTTCAAACATTTCTGGATTTTACAGGTGGAAACAAGGGATTTGGGTCTTGTACTATCATTGTGTTTCTATTATAATTATCATTAAATGTTCAACATAACTGAATTGGTTAGTTATTATTGTTTCCATTTTATAAATGTGGAGAAATAAGTTTTGAGAGGTTATGAAACTTGCCTGTGATCTTATGGTTAATAAGCTGTGAAATACAATTTAAACCTAAAATTGTTTGACTCAAAAACACATTAATGTAAACAGTATGATACACTGCAATTATGCTGATCTCAGATATGTATACAACAATAGATATATTAGAAAATAAAGATTTGAATCTAGGTGAAAGTAAGAGTTAATAGAGAGGGTGGTTGACATGGCAACACAGCTCTAGGACTAAGTAGTATTAGTGTAAGGAAGATTATTTTGGCCCCAAAGTGCTAAGGTGGAAGTTTTCAGAGACAGGCAACTTGAGATATCGTGACTTTTTAACGTTATTTGAGTTTTTTCCACTTATTTTATGTATTTTTGCCATCTCTGAGGGCAACAATATCTATGCAACAATAGATAACCAGAAAAATATCCTTCACCAGTTTCCGGATCACACAATATTTTTTCATTCAGTATTTATTTAAATATTGTCATTAAATAATTATTTGTACATTTCTCATTACTCATGGGCAGACCCTCAAACAGAAGAACTAGCCCTTACTCCTTTACTCTCATTGTGAGGAAAGGTGAACTGTGCTGACATGCAGGCATATCCTTGTTTTGTACTAGCAAATATATCCATCACACAAGTTCTTTGAACCATAGACAACCTACCAAGAGAGATCCCATTAGTCAGTTAGGAATGACATGACACTACATGGCATGAGTCTGAAGATCCTCAGAGGCTTCATGTTAAAAATGTGAGGTTTCATAATATAAAAATATTCATTTGTTAAAAGTATTATATAATTTTATATTAAGGCCAAGAGATGTGGTTCTGGTGATTGACCTATGACTGGCTTCATGTCTATAAAGTTAAGAAAAAAAAAGCTAAACCACAAATGTAGCTTTTAGAGAACTTGAAACAAGAAGTCATTTGCAGACATCAGCAGGAATGGTGGAGTACAAATTTGCAAAATGTCGCTTCTCTATAGAAACAATGAGAACACTGGAAGAATTGTCAATGCCAACTTTTTCAAAACTCTAGTAACAACTAAAGGCTTGTAACAAAGAAGTATTTATTTAAAACAAAATGCTGAATCTTGTTAAGAATATTTAACTCACTTTTTTTTCATCTGTCTTTTCACAGCTTTGCGGTAACACTGAAAAACAGTGGCTACTAAATCATGGTGAAAAACAGCAGCCACTGGAGGTGGCAAAACAGGTTTGGAGCTCTCCAAAATCATTATTTTCAGAAAATTGTCATTATTTGACTTGTCTGGCAGTTTTCTCAAAATCCCCCTCATCCAGCTTTTCTTTATTTGACCTAAATGAAAGCTCAGTCAGGGCAAACAGCCTTTCCTCTGAAGGCATTTGTCAAAAACAATCAGCAGCAATTGCTTAATATTGCAGCTGCCCATGGCAGTGATAACTCGTTGGGGGGAAAAAGTGACCAAAAATATAAAAATAAAACTTGGGGAATGAGTTTTTAAGCATTTTGCAAAGGTCCAATATATTCCTAGGAATCTAGAAGGCCACATGTTGCGGCTCTATGAAGCAAGAAATGAGGGCTGGGATAGAGTTATAAGCTACCTGCCTGAGCATTACAGGTGTGTGCCAGCACATACACCATCCCACAGCAAAGATTGGGAGACTTATAAACTTTTAGCAGTTAAGGGGCAAAATGATAAATTGGATTTTATCATAATTGAACATTTCTCCTCTTAAGAAAATGTGATAAACAAGGAACAGACCAGAGGAAAATATTTGCAAAGCACTTAGATGATAAAGGATTTGTATCTAGAATATATAAACAACACTCAAAACTCAGTAAGAAGAAAACCAATCCAATAGTATATCGTCACAAAATTTGAAAAAACACTTCAGTAAATACAAATGGATAGCAAGTAAGCATATGAAGTGATACTCAATATTGTTGTATTTAAAAAAAAAATTAAAACTACAATGAGATTCCACTGCAGCCCTATTAAAATGGCTAAAGTAATAATAATAATGACTATTGTTATCATGTTAATCAATTACCAAATAATCAAATACCAAATTCTGAGGAGGATATTGAGCAAAGGCAACTCTTACACATTGCTGTTGTAAATGCAAAATGACACCTGTTTTGGACAAAGCTTGGCAATTTATTTTATGTTCATTTGTTTTATTTTTGTTTTTTTGAGACAGAGTCTTGTTCTGTCACCCAGGCTGGAGTGCAGTGGCATGACCTCAGTTCACTGAAACCTCCACCTCCCAGGCTCAAGTGATTCTCGTGCCTCAGCCTCCTGAACAGCTGGGATTACAGGCATGTGCCACCATGGCCAGGTACTTTTTTTTTTTTGTATTTTTAGTAGAGATGGGGTTTACAATATCAGCCAGGCTGGTCTCAAACTCCTGGCCTCAACTGACCCACCCACCTCATCCTCCCAAAGTGCTGGGATTTTAGGCTGTGAGTCACTATGCCTGGCTGACAATTTCTTTCAGAGCTAAACAAACACTTAATATATAACCCATCAATCCCACTGCCAGGTACTTACCCAAGTAAGTACACACACATTGATAGAAGCTTTACTCACAATCACCAGAAGGTAGAATGGCCCAAATATTATTCAACTGAGAAGTAAATAAACAAACTGTGGTATATCTACATAGCGGCATATTACTAAGCAACAAACAACAAAAATGAATAAGCTAATTATTGATACATGCAAAAACATGAGTAAGTCTCAAATGCATTATGCTGTGATGAAGACAGAGTTAAAGTTTATATATTGTTGAATTATAATTATAGGATCTTCTTGGAAAGGCAAAACTACAACACCAGAAAACAGATCAGTGGTTACCTCGGGCTAAGGATACGGGCAGTGGTTGAGCACAAAAAGACATGAGGGATTTTTAGAGGGTGATGCCACCATTCTGTTTCTTGATTCTGGTGGTGCTTACATGATTATATATATTTGTCAAAACTCACTGAACTGTAATATAAGAAGGTGAATTTTACTCTATTTAAGTTATGCTGCAACAAAAAAGGAAAGAAAAAACACTATCAGCTGCATTTATGTAAATCACAACATCTTTGATAATGTGAAGAGAATGGGATATTATTAAATTCAGTATTTGCTAATACTGAAATATTTTAGTATAGTATCTAAATTTTAAAAAATAATAATTCTATTTTTAGTGATTGCTAAGTATATTCCACAGAAATAGATAATTTTAATAGCAGGTTTCATGTATTCCTTGAAGAAACATCTGTTTTTCTGGAAGACAGTACTTTGCAGGTCTGCTAAGTTAAATAGAATATTACACACTTGAATCATTATTACAGCAGTGAATGAGAATATCTCATCATGTTTCCCACAGAAGGAGCAATGTTTGTTTGGAAGATAATTTTTAAATTTATTGCTTCCACTACTATTAGCACTCCTTAAAATTATTTTTAAAATATTTGTATGTTTTTCTAAGTACTCAGAGCTTAATGCTTACTGGTACCTTCAACCCACGTAGATAATTTCATTCCTCAAGAGCCACAGACATGCATATGCATAATTTTCACACCTACACTCTCCATTTCAATAAAAAAAGCTATTTATATTCTTCTTACATATATTATCATTGAAGTGGAAGTCCTTTCATCTTTTATTATCTTAGTACTGAGAACTCTGTCTCTCAAATAGAAAAATATCTATGAATTACTTCTTGTCACTTACCTAGAAATAAGACAGTATTCTTTTATGATGTCTTTACTTCTGCTTCTTTTATCTATTTCTCTTCTCCCCTCCACCTTACTTATTTAATTTGTGACTTAATCATAGCACTGGATTATGAGACAGCTTGATGGCATCTGTAAGTGCTACTGCTTGGTCATGTGACCTCAGGTAACTTTTTCCGTTTGTGTCCATGAGGATGTACAAAACAAAACATATTAAAGTATATGCTAATAGTTATTTTCATTATTAAAAATATTCCTTTTGTTAAGATCTTTTGCTGATTAATATAATAACTTAATATATTTCTATCTTTGCCAAGCACTATTACAGGTGTTGAGGCTACTACAAATAAGACAAAGTTCCCTTCTCTGAAGGCACATTTTATCTCATCTTGCTCTAGCAAAATTTAAGATGCATAATGTAAGGTGATATGAATTACATGTAAGAGTGAAAGAAAAACAACATTGGAAACATAAAATATAGCAAAGTATTTTTCTTAAGAAATTTATTTTATTTTGTTAAGCATCTTTGCTCTTTACTGTTATCCAGTTCACCCCACTAAGCACAAGGGAGGATTGTCTTACCCTGTCTCCTTAAAGATCAGTGTATTAGTCCATTCTTGCATTGCTAAAAAGAACCGCCTGAGACTGTGTAATTTATAAATTTATAAAGAAAAGAGGTTTAATTGTCTCATGGTTCTACAGGTTGTAAAGAAAGCCTGGCTAAGAAGGCCTCAGGAAACTTAAAATTATGGTGGAAGGCAAAGAGAAAAGAGGCACATCTTACATGGGCGGAGCAGGAGGAAGAGAAGGGGGAGGTGCCACACACTTAAGCAACCAGGTCTCATGAGAACAGCAAGGGGGGATGTCTACCCCCATGTTCCAATCACCTCCTACCAGGCCCCTCCTCCAACATCGGGGATTATAATTTGACATGAGATTCGCACAGGGACACACATTCGAATCATATCAATCACTTGGCATGGCCAAGTAATTGACTTGGGCCAATATAATGTGAATATGGGGTACGTCGCTTCCAGTTAAAAGCATGTAGAAGCTGTCGTGCAGTTCTCTCTTGCACTGCCACATCATCAGGGCACTAATTAATATGAAGTGTCATAAAATCAAAGCAGCTTAGAAGGATGGGCAAACGCATGAAGGAATGCTGACCTAGAGACTTTGCACTAGCTAGAATTTTCTTTAAATAAACTAAACTACCAAAATTTGGAGATTGTTACTAACACATAAGTTGGCCCATCCTGATAAATACAGATATGTTTGAGAGAATCATAAATAGTTCCCTAAAATATCTAGCAGTTAGGCAATCTTACTGATATGGTTTGGATCCGTGTCCCCATCCAAATCTTATGTTAAATTATAATCCCCAGTGTTAAAGGTGGGGCCTGATGGGAGGTGATTGGATCATAGGGGTGGATCCTTCAAGAATGGTTTAGCACCATCCCTTTGGTGCTATTCTCATAATAGAGTTTTCACGAGGTCTAGTTGTTTAAACGTGTGAAGCATCTCCCCCTGACATCTTGCTCCTGTGCTGGCCATGTAAGATGAGGCTGCTTTCCCATCACTTTCCACTAGGACTGTAAGTTTCCTGAGGCCTCCCAAGAAGCCAAGCAGAGGGCAAGCATCATGCTTCCTGTACAGCCCATGGAACCATGAGCCAATTAAACCTCTTTGTTTATAAATTATCCAGTGTCACGTATTTTTTTTTTTTACAGCAGTACAAGAATAGGCTAATATAGAAAATTGGTACTGAGGAGTGGGGCATTGCTATAAAGATACCTGAAAATGTGGAAGCAGCTTTGAAACTGGGTAATGGACAGAGGTTAAAACAGTTTGAAGGGCTCAGAAGAAGACAGGAAGATGAGGAAAGTTTGGAACTTCCTAGAGGCTTATTGAATGGTTGTAACCCAAATGTTGATAGTAATGTGAACAGAGATGGCCAAACTGATGAGGTCTCAGATGGAGAAGAGGAACTTATTGGAAACTGGAGTAAAGGTAACTTTTGTTATCCTTTGGCAAAGAGCCTTGGTGCATTGTGCCCCTGCCCTAGGGATCTGTGGAAATTTGAACTTTAGAGTGATGATTAAGGGTATCTGGCAGGAGAAATTTTTAAGCAGCAAGGTGTTCAAGGTGTAGCCAGGCTGCTTCTAAAAACCTATGCTCATATGCATGAGCAAAAAAGTAACCTGAAACTGAAACTTATATTTAAAAGTTTTGGAAAATTTGTACCATGGCCATATAATAGAAAAGAAAAGCCCATTTGCAAGAAAGGAATTCAAGCAGGCTGCAGATATTTGCATAACTAAAGGAAGGCAAGTGCTGACAGCCAAGGCAATGGAGAGAAAGCCTGGAAAGCATTTCAGAGACTTTTGTGGCAATCCCTCCCATCACAGGCAGGAAGCATAGGAGGGAAGAATGGTTTCTTGGACCAGGCCCAGGGCCTCATTGCCCTGCACAGCATCAGGACACTGCTCCCTGCATCCCAGCCACTCTAGCTCCAGCTGTGGCTCAATGGAGCCCAGGTACTGCTCAGGCAACTACTTCAGAGTTTGGAAGCTGTAAGCCTTGGTGGTTTCCACAGGCTGTTAAGCCTGTGAGTGCAGAGTATAAGAGCTGAGGCTTGAGAGCTTCTGCCTAGATTTCAGAAGATGTATGGAAAAGCCTGGATGTCCATGCAGAAGTCTGCTGCAATGATGGAACCCTCATGAAGAACCTCTAGTAGGACAACGTAGAAGGGAAATGTGGAGTTGAGTCCCCACACAGAATCCCCACTGAGGCACTGCCTAGTGGAGCTGTGAGAAGAGGGCCACCATCCTCCAGACTCCAGAATGGTAGTCCACCAGCAGCTTGCACCCTGTACCTAGAAAAATCATAGGCACTGAATGCCAGTCCCTGAGAGCAACCACAGGGGATGAACCCTGCAAAGCCACAGAGGCAGAGCAGCCCAAGGCCTTGGAAGCCGACCCGTTACATCAGTGTGCCCTGGATGTGAAACATGGAGTCAAAGGAGATTATTTTGAAGCTTTAACATTTAATGACTGCTCTGCTTGGTTTGGTTTTGAACTTGCATGGGGCCTGTAGCCTCTTTATTTTGGCAAACTTCTTCTTTTTGGAATGGGAGTATTTGCCAAATGCCTACACTTTCATTGTATCTTGGAAGTAACTAACTCATTTTGATTTTACAGATTCATAGGCAGAAGAGACTAGCCTTGTCTTAGATGCCATTTTGGACTTGGGATTTCTGAGTTAACGCTGGAATGACTTAAGTCTTTGGGGACTATTGGGAAGGGATGATTGTATTTTGCAATGTGAGGACATGAGATTTGGGAGGGGCCAGGGGTGGAATCACACGGTTTGGATCCATATCCCCATCAAAATCTCATGTTCAATGGTAATCTCCAATATTGGAGATAGGGCCTGGTGGGAGGTGATTAGATCATGGGGGAAGATCTTTCATGAATGGTTTAAGCACCATCCCTTTGGTGCTGTTCTCATGATACCGTTCTCATGAGACCTGGTTATTTAAAAGTGTGTAGTACCTCCTCTCCACCTCTCTTTCTTGCCCTTGCTTCAGCAATGTAAGATGAGCCTACTTCCTCTTCACTTTCTGCCATGATTGTAAGTTTCTTGACCCTCACAAGAAGCTGAGCAGATGGCCGGCATCATGCTTCTTGTACAGCCATTGGAACCATGAGCCAGTTAGACCTCTTCAGTTTATAAATTACTCAGTATCAGGTGTTTCATTATGGCAGTGGAGAATGGATTAATACGCTTACCAATAACATGATTTTTAGGCTTTAAGATTAAAGAGAAAACAGTTTTCAAGCAAAGTACCTTAATACACAGTAGTAAGATGAGCATAAATTCTTCCTAAGATTCTTATAAAAATGTACATTGTATGCTATAATAAGTAAGAAAAATGATAGAGAGCCTTAATTTTATCTTTCTATAATCCAGAAATTATGTTATGCACATTTTTGCTGGATAATTTTACTTAATCTTTACAAAACACCACTGAAGAATGTACTATTATTATCCACAATCTACAGATACGAAAAGTGAGACAGAGAGATCAAGGATTTTGCCCAAAGTCAGGCAGCTAGTAAGTAGCTGCAGAGGTAAACCTTACATGCTATTTATCTTAAGAAAATTTAAATAGAAAATTATATTAGCTTCCCTTTTAATCAAAGAAAATATAAAATCAGAAAAATAAATACCCTTTTAAGCATGGAATTAGCTGTAATTAATGAGAAACTATAAAACAAATTGTGTGGCCTTATAACAGCTTTGTTGTTCAGGCTCTATATTATAACACACTTCTCTGCTGATAAGAGGTGCTAACGATATAAAATACTCAATACTCAGGTTGCTAAATAATGAATTCACCTACTAACTAATCAGAACAGGTAAGAATTAAAGCTAAATTTGTTTCTTCATGCTCATATTTCACAAATTTGCTTGACTGTATTTTCTACCATTGAATTTAAAATATGAAATGTCTGATCAACATTTTACTAAAACAGGTGAATCTTCAATATATTCATTAATATTTAAGAAAACTGAGTAATCAAAGGTATTTTCATACAAACAGTATTAGTTTATATTGTTTAAATTAATGAATATGACACAATTTTTTCATTTTTTCTTCAAACATACATAAAGAATATTTTATTTTTCTCTAATAACTGCTCTTATCTATTTTCTTTTTTGCAAATGATTAAAAGATAGATTACTTATGAATTGTTAAATATATTGAAGTTCTTTAACAGTTTCTGATAAAAGCAAATGCAAAAATTTACAGGTCAACTCTCAACAGATTTTTTTGACTCAGGACATATGATCTTAACCAACAAGAATTTCCTACATGTCATTTGGAGATACAAGAATATTTCCAAATACTTATTTTCATTCTTATCTTTGGGGAAATAAAACATTCCTTAACTTTCAATGTTTTGAATTATTTTAACTTTATAATAATGTGAAAGCCATGCACATTATGTAGAAACCTTACTTCGAGTGCCCATACAACCATTCTGTTCTTCACTTTCAGTACAGTATTCAATAAATTACGTGAGCTATTCAACACTTTATTGTAAAATAGACTTTGTATTATACATTTGTCCAACTGTAGGCTAATGTAAGTATTCTGAGCATGTTTAAGGTAGGCTAGGATAAGTTTGTATTAAATGCATTTTTAAACTTAACAGTATTTTAAAGTTAAGGTGAAAATTTAATTTATCAGGACGTAAGCCCCTTGTAAGTCAAGGAGCATCTGCATATGGGTGCTCACTGAGCAGTCAATAGGTAACATTTATAAAGGAGCTGCTCAAGGCTAGAGTCCTCATGCTTTCCAAGAAAAGTAAAGCATTGTATCAGGTATCCTTGCTCTTAATACAAATAGAATAAAATCATAAAAGTTTTCAACCTCACTGAAAATTTCCATAATTAGTCCCTGTTGTTTAGTGATAAAGAAGCACACATTTTGACTTAGATTATGAAATTAAGGCAACATTTTTACATAGCAAAATTTTCCTTTGCAAAACTCTAGCTACAAGTTATTTGAAATTATCTTGACATGAAGTAGAAAAATTCTTTTTATTTCTCAGAATTAACAGAATTTGCTACAAATGTCATTGTTTTATAGGTAAATTTGATTCAAGGTAAATTATCTTCTTGTAAGAATTTAAATTTTAATACCAGCAAAGTCATAAAGGTACCAATTTTGAGAATACCATTTGGCATAAAAAATCTGTTATTATCTATGTTAATCTGGTTTTGCCCATGATTCCCATTTTCCCCTTTTTCTCTGCAGCTATTCAGCTGTAAATGCCTTCTGTATTCAACTACATACACTACTATACTTCAGCACTGTGAGAGCCCTTAATTATAAGGTAAGTGGACATACAATCTAAGAGAAAAATACCACTTTTCTTTTTTTGGCATTTAAATTTTTAAAAACGTTTGACAGAGTAAATGCATAAGTGATAGAATGCTTTTTAAAAAGCATATATCTTAATTATTCTCATCACAGAAGTGCAATATATGAGAAGTTAAAACAGACATTTAGCAGTTACAGGGATTCTGCATTACTAAAAAATGAATGAACACAGCAGGTTTTGAGATAATTTAACTCATTTTTTAAGTTAGAATTTTTTATGCAGAGTGCATATAGCTTCAATTATTAGTAGCTGCTAATCAAATAATTTAAAACTTTTTGTAAAAATATAACATTTTTTACTTGTTGAAGAACTTAGTCATTTCAAATGCTCCTTTTATCTGGGCTAGTTCTTTAACATTTACTGAGGTTTATATTCATGCAATAGGTTAATCATTGCAAGATGGTTATAAAATAGTGTTCAGATAGATCTTCATATTTTGTAGAATGCATAACACATTTAACAACAGACTTAATACAGTTTAACTAAACTCTCATCATTTTTACCAATAGTTTTCTTTTTTTTTTTGAGACGTAGTCTCATTCTGTCTCCCAGGCTGGAGGGCAGTGGTGCGATCTCGGCTCACTGTAACCTCTGCCTCCTGGGTTCAAGCGATTCTCCTGTCTCAGCCACCTGCATAGCTGTGACTACAGGTGCACGCCACCACACCAGACTAATTTTTGTATTTTTAGTAGAGACGGGGTTTCACCATGTTGGCCAGGCTGGTCTCGAACTCATGACCTCAAGTGATACACCTACCTCGGCCTCCCAAAGTGTTGGGATTACAGGAGTGAGCCACCGTGCCTGGCCTCATTTTTACCAATAGTTTAATGCTGGGCACTGATATAATAGAAAAACTCTTGACAAATGTACTAGTATAATTCTCATTTTCGACAGTGGGGAATTTTTATTCCACTCACTTTTTTCTTTGTCAGATTTTATTTTTTAACCACTCAACAGTGGAAGAAAATACAGGCATAATTGTTGATATTGCAATGTGCATAAACACTTTGATATCTAAATTTTCAAGGTAAATTACCTGTATCTCAAAAACATTTTACTGATGTGCTTAGGTTGTAAGAGAGGAAGTACCATTTCTCACACATCGACCCCTCTCAGTCTTCCTGCCCCATAAATGACTTAATAAGGTAAGTTGGAAACTTCTTTTACAGGGGAAAATAAAAATATCCAAAATTAATCTGAAGTCTAACAAGACAATCCACTGAGGTAATTATGCTATGGCTCTACTATGTGGTTTAGCAAAAATTACTATTTCACATTTTAAAAGCCACTTATATTAGTAGAGGCATAGCTCATTTTATTGTACTTCACTTTGCAGTACTTTGCAGATGCTGCATTTTTTAAAACATTGAAGGTTTATGGCAACCCATCATGGAGCAACTCTCTCAGTACCATTTTTTCCAACAGCATGTCCTCACTTCATGTCTGTGTCATATTTTGGTAATTCTCACATTTTAAACTTTTTAATTATTATTATATCTGTTATGGTGATCTGTAATCAATGATCATTGATGTTACTATTGTAATTGTTTTGGGGTGCCATAACTACACCCATATAACAAGGCGTACTTTAAAAAAAGATGTATGCACTCTGATTACTCCATCAGCCAGTGGTTCACATATCTCTTTTCCTCTCCTCAGGCCTCCTTAATTGCCTGAAGACAACAATATTGAAATCAGGTTAATTAATAACCCTACAATGACCTCTAAGTGTTCAAGGGAAAGAGAGTAACACAGCTCTCAGGTTAAATCAAAATAAATGACTTTAAATTGAAACCACGGTTCAGTAACCACCCAGACGATCCTATAGCCCTTAAGAATTATACTAAATTTGCTATGCTGGTGTTCTATAAATGCAACACCTAAGCCTGGATGAGAGCACATCTGTCTATAGTACAGTTTTCTGAGTATTTTAAGCCCATGTTTGAGACCTAATGCTCAGAAATAAAAATATTTATTTCAAAATATGACTGCTCATTGACAATGCAATTTGTCACCAAAAAGCTCTGATGGAGATGTACAAGGATATTAATGTTGTTTTCATGCCTCCTAATGAAACATGGATCAAGGAGTAATTTCAACTTTCAAGCATTATTATTTAAGAAATACAATTTATAAGAGTATAGCTGCCACAGATAGGATTCCTTGGATGGATCTGGTAAAGTATTGAAAACCTTCTGGAAAGAATTTACCATTTTAGATGCCATTAAGAGCATTTCATGAAAGGAGGTCAAAATATAAACATTAATGGAAGTTAGGAAGAAATTGATTTCAACCCTCACGGATGACTATGAGGGATTCAAGACTACAGTGGACAAAGAAACTGCAGTTGTTGTAGAAATAGCAAGATAATTAGAATTAGAAGTGGGGCCTGAAGATGTGACTGAATCACTGCAGTCTGATGATAATATTTTAATGAAAGAGGAGTTCCTTCTAAGGAATAAGCAAAGAAAGTGGTTTCTTGACTCCTGGTGAAGATGTCATGAACACTGTTGAAATGACAACAAAGAATTTAGAATATTAAATAGATTTAGCTGATGAAGCTACTTCAGGCATTGAGAGGATTGACTCCAATTTTGAAAGAAGTGTGACTGTGGGTAAAATTCTACCAAATAGCGTTGCATGCTACATAGAAATATTTCATGAAAGAATCAATTGCTACAGCAAACTTCATTGCTTTCTTATTTTAAAAAATTGCCATAGCCATCCCAAACTTCAGCTGCCACCATCCTAATCAGTCAGAAGCTCCAGTAAAAAGGTTAAGACTTTCTGAAGACTCAGGTGATCTTTAGCATATTTTAGCAATAATACATTTTTAATTAAGATAGGTACATTGTGTTTTCATACATAATGTTATTACACACTTTATAGACCACTATATAGTGCACACATACTTTTATATGCACCAGGACAAAATTTTGCCTCACTCTATTGTGATATTCAATTTATTGTGGTGGTCTGGAAGCAAACCTACAATATCTCCAAAGTATGCCTACATTTATTATAATAGGCATACAGTTAATTTTCAGATGTATTTATACTTATGTTTAAAGATTCTCTGTATTGTAATTATTCTTTCATTATTTACCTCATGCAAGTCTGGTATAATTGTTGCCACTGTTGTATTTATCACTCTCCCAACCCCCTTAAGGCTCCACAAGTACATTCTGAATTCTTAAGTTGTTTGAACACAGATGGAAAATCAATTCAAAGGAAGAGATGATATCCACTTCCAGAAAACTATGCTAAGCAAATGAATCTGCTGCTAGGATCTTTTTGATTTTTATATCTAATGCTTCTGCATATTTTAAAGGAAGCCTTTTGACATGAGCACATGGTCTCTGCAGAGTTAATTAATAACCCATAAATGATAATTATATTAGCCAGGTTAATTTTCATCTAGAACTAAATTGCAGGACAGGTTTAAAGGTGATGAATATTCTGTCATTTAAAAGGTCATTTGTGGAACACAGAGATAGAATCAAGGATACAGCCTCTCCAAGGCTGGGAATCTATCTTGAGAGTGGAATTTGCCACTTATTCAATAAAATTGCTTACATGAGATTTGTCTTCGGTCTCCTCAATTAATTTTGTCTGCAGAAAAAGTGATTTTACTCACTTTATCTCTACTCTTTGAATCTTATTGTTAAAGCTTAAATATTTTTATATTTAAATTGCACAATTTGATTTTTATGCCCACACATACATATAAAACTTTCAAAACCCTCAACATACACATATTATAGTAATTAACATATCCACTATTCCCCATACTTCCCTTGTGCCACTTTGTAATCTGTAATGACTCTATATCCCACCCTATTCTGAAGCAACCATGGATTGGTTTGTATTTTCTAGAATTTATGTAGTTTTGCCTAATTTATTTTACTTAGCATAATTATTTTGACATTCATACATGTTATAATGTGTATCAATATTTCAATCTTTTTTATTGCTGAATAGTGTTCCATTTACAGACATACCACAGCTTTCTTATCTACTTATCTCATGACAGACATTTAAGTTGCATCTATGTTTTGGCTATTACAGAGGCAACTGCCATGAATATGTGTGAAAGCCTTTGTATGGACACATACTCTCAGTTATGTCTGTAAATGCCTAGGAATGGAATCACTGAATAATATGGTAGGCATATGTTTAATTTTCTGAAAGAAAAATTCAAACTTTTCCCAAAGTGTTTGTACTATTTTACATTTCTAGCAGAAGCTTATGAGAGTTATAGTAACTCCACATTCTCACCAATACTTGGTATCGTCAAACTAAGCCTTCATAATATGTGTATAATGATATCTCATTGTGGTTTTAATTTGCATTTCCATAGTGGCTAATGATCTTGAGCATCTTTTTATGTGCTTATTTGCCATCAACATATTTTCATAGCCGAAGTGCTGTGTTTTCATTACTATTTCTTTTATTTCAAGTTCAAATTGTTACCAGTATGCAGATATTAAATGAATTTTTGTATACTGATCTTGTATCCTACAACCTTGCTAAACTAATATATTAGTTCAAGTACTCTTTTTTTGTAGTTTCTTTGAAGATCCCATGAGATGACAGTGATACTGTCTTTATTTATGTAGAAAATCTCTTGGAATCTACAATCTTCATTTATTTCTATCATAAATAAAGACAGTTTTCCATTTCAATATGGATACCTTTTAATTTTTTTTTTTTTTTTGGTCTTATTGCACTTACTAGAATCTACAGTGTAATGTTGAATTAAGATGGTGAGTGAAGACATATTTGCGCTGTTCTTGACCTTAGAAGGAAAGCATTTGGCTTGTCACCATTAAGTATGTTAATGAGTTGCTTCTTTTGTTTGTTCAATTGTTTTTTATAGACGCTGGTTTTTGTTTTTTTTTTTCTTTTTTTTGAGATGGAGTTTTGCTCTTGTGATCCAGGCTGGGGTACAGTGGCGTGATCTCTGCTCACTGCAACCCACACCTCTAGGGTTCAAGTGATTCTCCTGCCTCAGCCTCCAGAGTAGCTGGGATTACAGGTGCCCACTACCACAACCGGCTTATTTTTTGTATTTTTAGTAGAGACAATGTTTTGCTATGTTGGGCAGGCTGATCTCAAACTCCTGACCTCAGGTGATCCACCCACCTTGGCCTCCCAAAGTGCTGGGATTACAGGCATGAGCCACCATGCCTGGCCAGTAGATCCTGTTTAAAGACAGGAAGTTATTTCTTTGTACTCTTGGTTTGCTGATAATTTTTTTAAAAATCATAAATGGATGCTGAGTTTTTCAAATACATTTTTGTCTATTAAGATAATAATGTTTTTTAATATATTAATATAGTAAACTGTATTTATAAAATTTTTATAATTACAGAAATCTCTCCTTTACTTCTAAATTCAATTAACTTTAAGAATAAATTATACACATAGTGTATATAATTACTAAACTAATATTGATGTATTAATATTATTCACTGAAGTCCATAGTTCATTCCAATTTTTTTAGTTTTTGCCTAATGTCCTTTATCTGTTCCAGAATCCCATCTTTACATTTATATTTATTGTCATTTAGTTATTGGGAGTTCATAGTTTGGCTCCTTATGGCTGTGATGGTTGCTCAGAATGTCCTTGTTTTTCATAAACTGAACAGTTTAAGAAGTACTAGTCAGGTATATTGTAGGATGCCTCACTAAAGGAATCTTTTCTAATGTTTTCCTCATGATTATGCTTACCTTATATGTTTTTAAGAAGAAATCACAGAGGTAAGTTGCCACTTTATCACATCATATCAAGGATACTGCTATGATATGACTGTGTCCCCTTCAAAATTCATGTTGAAACTCAATCCTGAAACCAACAGTTTGAAGGAGACTTCACACATTCTTTGCCCCTTTTTGGACTTCCAACTTTTATCATATGAGGATTCAGCAACAAGGCACCATCCTGGAAGCAGAGAGTACCCCTTACGCAACAATGAACCTGCAGTACCTTGATCTTGGACTTCTCAACTTCTAAAACTGTGAGAAAATAAATTTCTGTTGTTTAATTACCTAGTCTGTGGTATTATGTCACAGCAGCTCAAATGGACTATAATAAATTCCATGAGATGACAGTGATACTGTCTTTATATATGTTGAAAATCTCACAGAATCTATAATCTTCATTTATTTCTATCGTAAATAAAGACAGCTTTTCTTTTCAATATGGATACCTTTTAACTCGTTTTCTTGCCCTATTGCACTGACTAGAATCTCTAGTGTAATGTTGAATAAAAGTGCTTCTGATACTGCTTCCAAGGCCTTCATTTTGGTGTATTGTTTTCTGAGCCCCATCATGATACGGGAAGATGACAAGGGGCTAGAATTAAATAATTGCGCTTCTTTGAGGTCAGGTAAAGCTTGATAAATTTCCCTTGGACAGAAATCTTTTCATGGAGAATTCGTTGTTCATATTTGTAAATGGTTCTTTCTCCTTTCTGTCAATAATGTGAGGATTTTGCTTTCTCTTTTTTTTTCTTTCTTTTTTTACTTTTTGCTCTTTACTGAGAGAGCCTGGTGGGTTTCCTGGGGGTACAATCCAGGAAAGTATCTCCTTACTCCAAATATATTTATCAAAATTATCATTAAAGTGTTTACTAGCTTGTACTTCCACTAGCCTCTGCTCAAACCGATCTCAGTTGTATTTCTCTCATTTGCTTTGCTCTCTAGATGTCAGAGTGGCAGGTTGCCTGAGACCAAAGTTCCCTGATGAATTGCACTGAAGTAATTTATTTTTAATTTTTATTTTTTCTAGTTGTAAGTATGAGAATGACAACTTCCAAATTGTACACATGATATAGCTAAAATTATGTTTCTTGATTGATTTTATTTTTTTAATGTTAAAACTGTTGATGCAAAACCCAAATTCTGTCAAAATATTTTAAAAGGTCTATTCTGAGCCAACATGAATGACCACAGCCCAGGGAAACAGTCTCAAGAGGTCCTGAGGAAGAGCTCCCATGTGGTTGGGTTATAGTTTGATTTTGCACATTTCAGGGAGATAGAAAATATAGGTAAAATCATAAATCGATGCATGGGAGGAATATACTGATTTGGCCCCAAAAGGCAGGACATCTCAAAGCAGAGGCTTACAAGTCATAGGTGAGTTTAGGGATTCTTTAGTAAGCAATTGGTTGAAGAGTTAAGCTTTGTCTAAAAACTTGAAGTCAGTGGAGAGAAATGCTTATGTTTAGATAAGTAGGTATGTTATCTGTTATGTGATGCCATATCAGAATCAGTCTGGAAAGTGAGTCAGAATATACTGGATCACAGAGACCTGTTTAATAAGATTTTATGTCTTGGAAGGCATAACTTTCCCCAGGCACTTTGGAAAAAAATTTGAGCAAGGATTAAAAGTCAGAGTTTAATCCTCAAATGCTTGGTAGAATTTAACAGCAAATCTACCTAGCCCTAGAGTTTTCTTTATGGGAAAGCTAACGACAGACTCAATTTTTTTTTTAACAGACATGAGACTATTTAAATAATTTATTTCTTCTTGATTGAACTAAGTAGTTTGTATATTAAGTGAATGTGTACATGCTAAGTTGTTGAATTTTTGTCATAAATTAATTCACAATATGTTCTTAATTTTCTTTATACCTGTAAATTCAGTACAGATATCACTTTTCTCATTTATGATATTTGTAATTTGTGTCTTTTATTTATATCAGTTTTTTATAGATGTATTAATTTTATTGGTCTTTCAAACATCCAATTCCTTTTTATGTTCTATTGATTTCAGTTCCAATATTTTTTTTTACTTATTTTTTGCTTACTTTGAATTTAATTTGTTCTCCTTTTCAGGACTAATATTGGTAGCTAAAGTAATTGGTTAGGCTTCTTTCTTCATTTCTAGCATAGAAATTCATTGCTATAAATTTCTCTGTAAGTACTGCATCATAGCATCCCCAAACATAATGTGTCATGCTTTTATTTTTATTGATAAAGTTTCTTATTTCTCTTTTGTTTTTCTTGACTCATGGATTACTTAGAATAACCATTTAGCTTCCATGTTTTGGAAAATTTTGAAGATCTCTTTTTCATATTGATTTCTAACTTAATTTAATTATATTCATATAATAAGCTTATATAATAAGACTTAAAAAGTTACTAAAATGATCCCAGCAGTTTGGGAGCCCAAGGTGGGCAGATGGCCTGATCTCGGGAGTTTGAGAACATCCTGGGCAACATGGTGAAACCGTACCTCTACAAAAACATGCAAAATTAGCTGGGCATGGTGGTGGGCACCTGTAGTCCCAGCTACTAGGAAGGCTAAGGTGGAAGTGTTGCTTGAGCCCAGGAGGAGGAGGCTGCCGTAAGCCAAGATCACACCACTGCACTCCAGCCTGAGTGACAGAATGAGACCTTGTTTCAATAAATAAATAATTCTTACAAAAATGTAGTTCGTAAACCGAAACTTGCAATTCTTTGGTAAATGCTCTGTGTGCATATAAAAAAATCTGTATTTTGCTATTGTTGGGTGAAGTGTTTTAGAAATACAAACTAAGTAAAGTTGGTTGACAGTAATATTCAAATAGCCTATATCCTTACTGATTTTCTTTGTACTTGTTCTAACAATTATTGAAATAGGAGTTTTGAAATCTCTTAATATTTTTGTGAAATTTTCTCTCTCTCACTGTGGTTCTATCAGCTTTTCCTTTCTGTATTTTAAAGCGATGTGATTAAATTCACAAACAGTTGGTGTAACTGGTATAGCCAGGTTACCAGCTTACTCTAAAGGTAGCCCTTCTCTTGCTTTGTTTCTTGCCACACATATATCTAACTACTTGTTTGCTTGAGAATTCCAAAGGCCAATCTTGAAACAATCCAGACATGAAGTGGAGATGGCAGTTGCAATTTTCTCCCTTCCAAGAATAAATTGATGCACAGTTAACCCATAACCCTGCCCCTGCCAAGATGATGCCACCCAGCCACTGGATAGTCCATGCCTAAAGATAACCATCAGAAAATAAGATGCAGACCTGCACCCCACACCACTCCTGCACATAGTTTCCATGCCACTCTCTCTTTTTAAAAACTCTTTAGCTAGGTGCTGAATTTGAGATAGCTTGAGATGTGAGTCTGGCCATCTCTCAAGCTACTGGCACTTCAACAAACCTGCTTTTCTTCCACCATACCTTGCTTCTCCTGTTTGGCTTTTCAAGTGGCAAGCAGCGGAACCTGAGTTCAGTTTGTAAACCAAATATAAAATTTTGAACTCTTCAACAAACTGATAGACACCCATCTCAGCCAAGGGCATTCCGAAATAAACCTGAAAATCTAGTTTAGACCATAATGGGAAGGTGGGTTCAGCGATGCCTCATTATACTCTCCTCGCTTTGGAATTTAGGCAAAAATGACCAGCATTCAACTTAAAACAGAGATCTTATGACAGGCAAAGTAGCCTGTAGCAATAAGACACCAAATTCCAACCTGACTCTAGTACAATATCACATGACAGACAGCAGCATTGAAAGAAATTGAATTTTTTTTTATTATTATACTTTAAGTTCTAGGGTACATGTGCATAACATGCAGGTTTGTTACATATGTATACATGTGCCATGTTGGTGTGCTGTACCCATTATCTCGTCATTTAGATTAGGTATATCTCCTAATGCTATCCCTCCCCCCGCCCCCATCCCCCAACAGGCCCTGCTGTGTGATGTTCCCCACCCTGTGTCCAAGTGTTCTCATTGTTCCGTTCCCAGCTATGAGTGAGAACATGCGGTGTTTGGTTTTCTGTCCTTGCGATAGTTTGCTCAGAATGATGGTTTCTAGCTTCATCCATGTCCCTACAAAGGATATGAACTCATCATTTTTTATGGCTGCATAGTATTCCATGGTGCATATGTGCCACATCTACTTAATCCAGTCTATCATTGATGGACATTTGGGTTGGTTCCAAGTCTTTGCTATTGTGAATAGTGACACACGAAACATATGTGTGCATGTGTCTTTATAGCAGCATGATTTATAATCCTTTGGGTATATACCCAGTAATGGGATGGCTGGGTCAACTGGTATTTCTAGTTCTAGATCCTTGAGGAATCATCACACTGTCTTCCACAATGGTTGAACTAGTTTACACTCCCACCAACAGTGTAAAAGTGTTCCTGTTTCTCCACATCCTCTCCAGCACCTGCTGTTTCCTGACTTTTTAATGATTGCCATTCTAACTGGCGTGAGCTGGTATCTCATTTTGGTTCTGATTTGCATTTCTCTGATGGCCAGTGATGATGAGCATTTTTTCATGTGTCTGTTGGCTGCATAAATGTCTTCTTTTGAGAAGTGTCTGTTCATATCCTCTGCCCACTTTTCGATGGTGTTGTTTGATTTTTTCTTGTAAGTTTGTTTAAGTTCTTTGTAGTCTCTGGATATTAGCCCTTTGTCAGATGGGAAGATTGTAAAAATTTTCTCCCATTCTGTAGGTTGCCTGTTCACTCTGATGGTAGTTTCTTTTGCTGTGCAGAAGCTCTTTAGTTTAATTAGATCTCATTTGTCAATTTTGGCTTTTGTTGCCATTGCTTTTTGTGTTTTAGTCATGAAGTCTTTGCCCATGCCTATGTCCTAAATGGTATTGCCTAGGATTTTTTCTAGAGTTTTTATGGTTTCAGGTCTAACATTTAAGTCTTTAATCCATCTTGAATTAATTTTTTATAAGATATAAGGAAGGGATCCAGTTTCAGCTTTCTACATATGGCTAGCCAGTTTTCCCAGCACCATTTATTAAATAGGGAATCCTTTTCCCATTTCTTGTTTTTGTCAGGTTTGTCAAAGATCAGATGGTTGTAGATGTGTGGTATTATTTCTGAGGGCTCTATTCTGTTCCATTGGTCTATATCTCTGTTTTGGTACCAGTACCATGCTGTTTTGGTTACTATAGCCTCTATAGCCTTCTAGTATAGTTTGAAGTCAGGTAGTGTGATGTCTCCAGGTTTGTTCTTTTGGCTTAGGATTGTCTTGGCAATGTGGGCTCTTTTTTGGTTCCATATGAACTTTAGTTTTTTCCAATTCTGTGAAGAAAGTCATTGGTAGCTTGATGGGGATGGCATTCAATCTATAAATTACCTTGGACAGTATGGCCATTTTCACAATATTGATTCGTGCTATCCATGAGCATGGAATGTTCTTCCATTTGTTTGTGTCCTCTTTTATTTCATTTAGCAGTGGTTTCTTGTTCTCCTTGAAGAGGTCCTTCCCATCCCTTGTAAGTTGGATTCCTAGGTATTTTATTCTCTTTGAGGTAACTGTGAATGGGAGTTCACCCATGATTTGGCTCCCTGTTTGTCTGTTATTGGTGTACAGGAATGCTTGTGATTTTTGCACATTGATTTTGTATCCTGAGACTTTGTTGAAGTTGCTTATCAGCTTAAGGAGATTTTGGGCTGAGACGATGAGGTTTTATAATATACAATCATGTCATCTGCAAACAGGGACAATTTGACTTCATCTTTTCCTAATTGAATACCCTTTATTTCTGTCTTGCCTGATTGCCCTGGCCAGAAATTCCAACACTATGTTGAATAGGTGTGGTGAGAGAGGGCATCCCTGTCTTGTGCCAGTTTTCAAAGTGAATGCTTCCAGTTTTTACCCATTCAGTATGATATTGGCTGTGGGTTTGTCATAAATAGCTCATATTATTTTGAGATATGTCCCATCAATACCTAGTTTATTGAGAGTTTTTAGCATGAACGGCTGTTGAATTTTGTTGAAGACCTTTTCTGCATCTATTGAGATAATCATGTGGTTTTTGTCTTTGGTTCTGTTTATATGATGGATTACATTTATTGATTTGCATATGTTGAACCAGCCTTGCATCCCAGAGATGAAGCCAACTTGATTGTGGTGGATAAGCTTTTTGATGTGCTGCTGGATTCAGTGTGCCAGTATTTTATTGAAGATTTTTGCATCGATGTTCATCAGGGATATTGGTCTAAAATTCTCTTTTTTTGTTGTGTCTCTGCCAGGCTTTGGTATAGGATGATGTTGGCCTCATAAAATGAATTAGGGAGGATTCCCTCTTTTTCTGTTGATTGGAATAGTTTCAGAAGGAATTGTACCTCTTTGTACCACTGATAAAATTTGGCTGTGAATCTATCTGGTCCTGGACTTTTTTCTGGTTGGTAGGCTATTAATTATTGTCTCAAACTCCTGGTCTCAAGTGATCCTCCCACCTTGGTTTCCCAAAGTGCTGGGATTATAGGTGTGAGCCACATGCCTGGCTCAGGTGCACAGTTTTAATAGATGTACTAATGTTCTTGTCTGCTAATTCCGATGTCTGAATCTGTTCTAGGTCAGTTTCAGTTGATTAATTTATCTTGTCATTATGGGTCGCATTTTCTTATTTTTACATGCCTTATATATATTTTTAATTATATTCCAGGTGTGAATTTATCTCATTAAATTCTAGTTTGGTATTCATATAAATACTATTTAAAATGGCATGAAATAAATGGGTTTTTTTGGTTTGTTTGTTTGTTTTTCTAGCAGTAGGAAGAACCAACAAAGAAGACGGAAGAACTGGCCAATGACATAAACAAATTTCAAGAGAATGCTCACCTGGGAGTCTTGGTAACAAAGTATTTCAAAATAGGAGACATCAAATGAGTAAGATAATGCCTGAGAGTTGACCACTGTTTTGAGAAATCTAAGTCACTGGAAGCCTTGATGAGAGCCATTTCCACTGAATAGTGGAGAGAGAATCCTGCTTAGACTGCTTAGACTGTCAAGATAAAATGTCAGAATAGGATGTGAACACAGTGAATACAGAGATTTATTTGAGTATTTTAATTCTAAAGCATCATAGGAAACCAGAGCACCTGCTGTCAGGGAAATGTGAAATCAATAGAGAATTTTTTTAAATATTAAATGTCAGATATTTGTATAATTTGGGAAGGCTAAATTAAAGAGGAAAATATTTAGGAAAGGAGAGCAAATGTTTAGAAGAGTGTCTTCTTAAACCAGTAAGAATGGATGGATTTCTACACACATGCTTTAAAATCCAGGCACTGCCAGTTCATGATTATAATTGGAAGACAGGTAACACTTATGGACACAAATAAAGTAGATAAGTAAATGTGATAACAGGAGCCTGTGATAGTTCTGCTATAATTTTCTTCTAATATTTCACTGTAATTGAAGTGAAGTCATATGCTTTATATCACAAAAAGGCAATCAACAATGCATGTCATTTTGGAAATGGTAGTTTATTGGGCATGTGGTGTGGGAGAAGAAAAAGCAAAGAGGTTGATTATTGTAACAATAATTTAATTCCTCTCATATTAACTGAGAGACAAAATTGATTCTAAAACACCCAAGTAAGGAGAATTCCCTCAACTGAGTAGTATGATAAACTATAGCTTCACATTCCAAGGCATCTGAAGCTCTGCTTTTCTTAGTTACATAAATGATCTTTTCCATCAGTAGTCATTCCTTGCATTTCTGTCTTCTTACACACACCTTCACTCTCATTTGAGGCTTGGAACTACTTTACAGAAATCTAAGAGTACACTATTTATTCAAAGCTTTGTATTTCTAAAGGCTACTTTTGGTAAAGGGCAAAAGTTGGCAACTCAACAAGTATTCATTGTGCTGTTTCAACAAGCACTTGCCATTTCTAGTGCATGTTTTCCCCCTTTTACATATCATTTTAAAGGTTTTATAAAAAGAGAATAACAACAGATTGCTGAGAAAGTTAACATCTCATCTATTTACCGCACAAGATCTCTCTCTACTGATGCCTTCTGTTTTGATTATAATGTAGGACAAAATGTATTATGATGATTTGAGAACAGGTTAAGAATTTGTGGAGTTTTGCCTCAACTATTCAAGCATAAATTGATTCTTAATTTTATGCCTCTAAAGTTTCACAATGAAATTGTTCAGATCAGTAACCCCTGTGAAGTATTTCTTATCTATAGCTGATTCCAAAACAAATTTTTACTTTAGCTATAATTCCTCCTAAAAATCTTTCTCTCTTTTTGATACAGGAACGGGGCAGGGAAGTGCTGGGCAGAGAAGGGCAGGGTCCCTGGTGAGGGCTCCACCCTCAGGCCTGTGCCCACGGACCTAAGTGAGAACAGACATTCCTGTTTTCCTGTCCAAATGTGGCATTTTCCAATACCACTCTGGCCCGCCATTCTCCCCATCCTGTGCCTATAAAAACCCTAGACCTTAGTGGACACAGACACAACAGCTGAACATCAAGAGGAGTGGAGGAACAGAGCGGCGGAGAGTAGTGGGCTGCCACAGGAGAGAAACAGAGAAGAACATCTGGACACCAAGGGGAGTTCAGCCAGGGGCGGTCAGAGAAGAGTCAGGCCACTGGGCGGCCTGACTCCAGGGGAATACCACCTTTCCACTCCATCCCCCCTTTTGGTTTTCCATCCATCTCGCTGAGAACCACCTCCACCACTCGATCAAACCTTGCACTCAACCTTCCAGCCCACGTGTGATCTGCTTCTTCCAGTACGCTGGGCGAGAAATCGACTGTCACACTGGTCCCCAGTCCTTGCGATAAGGCAGAGGGTCTATTGAGTTAACACAAGCCGTCTGTAGATGATGTAGTTGAAAGACCACACTGTAACACACGCCCATTTGGACTTCAGGAGTCCTAGATGCTGACATGGGGCTGGAGCCCAAAAAGCACTCCCCACAGCCTCTGCACCTGCCCGTCTACATGCTCCCCCTAGGAGTTCCAGCAGTAGGGCCCCAAAAGAGTGAGCCACACCCCTGTTGCATGCCTTTTGTGGGAGATAAGGGAACTCTATCCCTTTTCATTTTGACCAGTAATGAACATCCAGTTGATTCTCCACAACTACTTTCTCTTCCATTCACACCATAAGATTGTTATTGTCCCTTTTCTGGAATGAACTACACTTCTTGCCCATACTATTAAATATTTTGACACCTAGTAACACACTGTTTTGAAATTATGTATGTCAATGATGTATGTCTCAAATAGGCTTTCTTTATTTTTTGATTAGATAATACATTCCTTGAGTACAGGAATATTTTTAAAATACCTCTTAGAGCCTCTCTCACTTGAAAGAACATGGCAACTCAATACGCATTTAAACTTAAAAATCAAAGAAATATACCAGTGCGTGTGTTTGTGTGCATCTGTGTGTGTGCATGTGTGACTGTAATTACCTAGCTCTGAAATTTAAGTATAATTTCCTCAAAGAAGTCTTTGTGCTATGCTTAATTGTTTAGGGATTTTTAAAAATACTCTCACTGAATTCTAAGGTAGATCCCTATATTATTTATTTCAATTGCAATTAAATAATTACCTGTGCTTTATTTCCCTCTACTCTCTGCCTCCCATTAGTTAACAAGCACTGTGGGGTTTATAAGAACTATGCTTTGCCTAGTTTCAAGCACATCATATGCACTCAGGAAATAATTATTGAATTAAAAATATAAGTGGTTAATTCATAAAGTGAAGGTTCTATCATATACTGACAAAAATCTCTAACAAAAACTTTTAATATTTGAATTACTCTATATTTAGTTTGAACAAATAACTTTTTTTAGTCTGCCATCAACTTGATGATTATCTTATTTCATCTTCTGACTAGACACACAAACTATCAAACTGAAAAAATCACCATCAAATACTTCGGTGATTCTGATGAAAGCAATAGGAAATGTTGATCAAGGAGATAAAACACAGCAGAATAATAATAAGAAACTACAGCCTGCCAAGTTTTCTAAGGTATAGACAACTAATGCTCCTCAAATTTATAGAAAAAGATAATGTGACTTTCATAAAATAAGATAGATAAGAATAAAAAATAGTTAAACAAAAGACATTTACCTATGACTGATTTTATGAATTGTTTAAACTAAAAATATTAAAACAATTTGCTTTTGAATGTGGCTTTGCATCTGACCTTTTTGGAAAATGTGAATGTTTCCTAAAAAGACAGAACCAAAGCTACTAAGGTAGTATACATATAATTAATACATATAATTTATTACGACTATTTTTTTACAGATGGAGCCTATGAAACTAAGAGTACTGACCGGGCATGGTGTCTCATGCCTGGAATCCCAGCACTTTGGGAGGCCAAGGCGGGTGGATCACGAGGTCAGGAGATCGAGACCATTCTGGCTAACACGGTGAAACCCCATCTCTATAAAAAATACAAAAAATTAGCTGAGCGTAGTGGCTGGCGCCTATAGTCCCAGCTAGTTGGGAGGCTGAGGCAGGAGAATGGTGTGAACCTGGGAGGCGGAGTTTGAAGTGAGCCGAGATTGCGCCACTGCACTCCAGCCTGGGCAACAGAGCGAGATTCCATCTCAAAAAAAAAAAATAATAATAAAACAAAAATAATAAAAAATAATAAAAGAAACTAAGAGTATTTAAGTAACCTTTCCAAGCACACATGGATAGTGAACAACAAAAGCAATGTTTGAACAAAGAGATTATGATTGTGCAACATAGTTTCCTTTGGACATTTCCAAGTATGTATTATCGAACCAAAAAATGCAACTGGATCTTCAGTCACTTTGAATTTTTGAACTACTTGCTGCAATGTATTAGAGCCTTAGATAGCTAGAAAGCCATTTATAGTTGGCTTTATGATGTCTCTTGTACATATGGTTAAATGATTAACTTAAAGTAGCGAAACCTTGTGATAGGAGCGGTATTATTCAGCTTGGGGAAATAACTGCTCCCCATTGGCAGTAATAATAATAATATAGTAGTAAAAACATTAATAACAGCTAATTATACGCTATTTTTGTCTGCCAATGCTTCATTTTTCTTCTTCTGAAAATAACACCCAGATTTTGAATCTTCTTGCCTTTACTTGCCTTGGATTGTGAGGATTCCATGACCTTAACCAAACTGTTAAGAACATTAATTTATACAATTTATTCTCAGAACAGTCCTATGAGGTGACGAGTATTTTTTTTTTTTTTTTACTGGAGAAGGTTTAGAGAGTTGAAACACTTTGCTCATTGGTCTCACTACTAGTAAGTGACAGGGTAGGTATGAAATGCGGGTTATCAAAGTAAAAATTGCACTGAACAAAGTTCAACAGGCAAGAAAGACTTTGTTTAAGACTATTGCAATAAGGGCGAGAGACTAAACTTCCCTGGCAAAAAAAGTAGGAGCATTTTAAATGCTGGGATGAAATAGTGGAAAAGTACTGGAGATATTTAGGGAAGGGAGGCAGAGGTAGAAAAATGGGATGTGTTGAGCATATTTAGTTGTTCCTGAGTTGCAAATATTTTTCTCTGTGATCTCCATTTGCTAATTGGTGCCCAAAGAAATTAGGCTCCTATCCTCCCACAGAGACTGGGAAACAGGGGTGCTGTCTTGTTCAATTGTTTTTTATTTCAGGAAAATGAGTACCAGGCCCTCGAAAAAGACGTTTCTGTGGTTCTAAGACAGTCAAGAGTCTGGGAGAAGATTTACATATATTACAAAAGGGCAAAGAAAGAATGGACAATTGTGTTTTCTAAAGTAAATGCTCTAAGAAAAAAGAAGGTCAGAGCCAACAGAAAGAAATTTGTCTAAAGTTTAGGCATGCTGAAGGGAATATGAAGGTCATACTAATCAAGGTGTATCTCACAGTGAAGCCCACTTTTGTAACCACATTAGTGTATTTCCACCTTTGAAGGTTCACAGATTTAGGGGAGGAAAACCAATCTCTGATGTAGGTGGCTTAGAGAAAACAGTGTCCTCAGCGCATACAAGAAATTAAACTATGTAAATTGCTTCTCAATAATACAGAAAATCTTTGTTTCCATTGAGAGGAGATGACCTTTTTTATATGTATCTCTAGAAGAGTGATTGGTTTATACTTATTTTTAATGGTTATCCCACATATGTATAAAATGTTTATGTGCTATTTTAGGGTAAGATCGAAAAGCATCTATAATATTAAAAACACGCTAAGAGACACTGTTGAGAACTCCTGTCCTAAAATACTGGTCAGCGAGGGAGGCCTTGTATTCGCAAAGGAGTAGTCTTCAAATTTGGATGCATATTAGACTCACTGGGGAACTTCAAAAAGTAGTGATGCCTTGGTCCTACGTGCAGAGATCCTGATTTAATTGGTCTAGGGTGCACCTTGGATATTCAATTTACAATCTCTCCATGTGATTTTAATGTGTCGCCAAAGTCAAAGACCTCCAAAATGCTAGAAAAAATTTATATATTAAGAGAAATAATGAAGAACATTTGCTCTTGTATGAAAACATTCAGCAAAGCCAATTTATCCTTGAAAAGAAGAGTAACTTGTACTCTTCGTTTTTTAAATTCCTTTGTGACCCCAAATACTCTTCTAATAAAGAAAATTGACAAACAGGAAAGCAATTATTTGGCCTAATCTTGTATTAATTCAGGTGGGGTTCATACAACCTACTTTTAGTTATCACACAATGTCTTATAACACAGGGGAAATATTAATAGAACTTTTTCTACCACTTAATCCATGTTGATTATTATTTTTGAGATAAAAAATATTTATTTCCTCAATATAAATAACTGATCTTTAGAGACAGATAGATTATACAGTGACCCAGAAAATTAGGTAATAATTTCATATTTGCTTTTCACTAGAGAAAACATTAAATGGTGAGACTTTTCTATCCTTAATTTTCTTTAAGATATTGCACAATTAACATTCTTAAAGAATATTCTGTACTATATTACATTTCTAGAATAATTTTAACAAGTTCATGATTAATTAATGTCATTTGATTGGAAATGTCTGATGCATGCAAAAATAGTGGAGTTGACTTCTTAACATTAACTTAAAATATTTTCCCCAAAGAGTCAATTAAGTGTTAGCCAATGGAAAAGGCCAATAATATTTCATATATTTCTTTTTGTGATATCTTACATACTTAATATTTCAAAGTCAAACTTTCTTTTGAAAGAGAAAGTTCATTTGCATTTTAAACGAAAGTCGTGCCAGTTTTCCAACCTAATTATCCTTTTACACATCAAGATTTTTTTTTCCAAGGCCCAGCAGAAACTTCACTGTAGTGAGAAACTTCCCCTAATTCCAGTTCAGCATCAACCTTCATATTCTTTTGTCATTCCAGTGGTGTATGCCTTGACTTTACAAATGGGATTATAAACCTCAGGTTTTGGATTATGTCATAAGTTTTGCTAATTCCACTATGCATAGCACAGGTATAGGCATGGAAGAAACATTCAAAAAAAAGTTTTTTATTCACTGCAGGTTACTTTTCTCAAATTAATGAAACTACTTTTTTAATCATACTGTATTAGATATTGAGGGCCTATGTCTTATCCTCTTTAGATTTCTGTCAAATAAAGAATATATTCAAAAAACTGAAGCTACATAGGATAAAAACTTGCTTAATATATCCCAATGCAGATTTGTCTGGAGAAAAATTGACTTGTAGAACATGGCTTAGGCCTGGAGTCAAACTTGTAAATTTTACTTCTTCTGACATTAACAGGGAGACAGCTTGTAGCAAAGGCTGACTTGATTTCTTGCTTCTGGTCAAAGAAGCTAGGAGGGAGTGAGGAAAGGAAAAAGGGAGAAAGGAAAAGGAGAAAGAGACACAGACAGAATGCTAGACAAAGACCAGAGGAAAATGTGAGCATTGGTAGGTCAAAGAGGAAGTAGTTTTCTGCCACTGAGGCTTAATCATAGGATGTTAACAATTAAATTAGCTTTTCCTTTTCCCTTGTCCATAAGAGAAAGACCAGAAGTATTCAAGCTTCTATTCTCATCCTGTGGATATGCATAGACCTGTTAAAAGATACAAGTTTCTTTAAAATTATAGTACTACAGAAGAAATATCAAGGAGATATCAATTTTCAAATTAGAAAATGTGAAAATCTTAGAAAAACAAAACCGTTCTAATAATTATTTTAAATAAAAGATTAAATATATATCAAGCTCATAAGGGAAAAAATATACTCAATTATGATGGGAATTAGTTAAATTTTATGCAGCAAAATGACTACATGGTAAAAGTAATAAGGTTATTATAAAACAGAAAATGAAAAAAATGGGGAAAAGTCTTCATAAGCAATGAAATGTAGGGAAGTTAATGGGTGTTTTTAAACTTCAGATCATATTCTGTGCTGATAGACTTTACTAAGCATAATCCTTTTTGAAATTAAATGTTAGAAGTTGCCAAAAAAAGTAATTAAGCAAGAAGAAAGAATTAAAGAATTAGAAAAAAAAATCAACCCAAAAAGAATTAAATATGCAAAGTCTTATCTCTCCTACTGGGCTCTGATTTACACAAGAAATCTGACCGTGATCTTTCTTAAAATCCATGCCTAAGCCTTTTAATTCAATACAATTAAAAGCTCAGGTTAAGTACCTTATCTTTGAGTATGTTGAAAGTTGTTTTTTTTTTTTTTTTTTGAACGGCGTCTTGCTGTGTTGCCCAGGCTGGAGTGCAGTGACATGATCTCGATTCACTACAACCTCTACCTCCCGGGTTCATGCCATTCTCCTGCCTCAGCCTCTTGAGTAGCTGGGATTACAGATGTCCGCCACCACACCCACCTAATTTTTGTATTTTTAGTAGAGATGGGTTTCACCATGTTGGCCAGGGTGGTCTTGAACTCCTGACCTCAGGTGATCCACCCACCTCGGCCTCCCAAAGGGCTGGGACTACAGGCATGAGCCACCACGCCCGGCTGCAAGTTTTTAAGAAGAAAATTATTTACTTTAACCTGTTACTGATTTTTTAAAATACTAAGTTCATCAGAACTTTCACCTCTCAGTTTAAAGGCTATGGTTTGTATCAAATAGTCATCGTACCACTAAATCCTGTTTAGCTGACAGTCACATGCACTCATAGAGTCTTGTTTACTTGATTGATTGCAGTACAACACTGTTTCTTAAGAGCAGGAACTGTATCGTTCTTACCATTGCACTCTCAATACCTAGCACAATACCTACTACAAAATATTTATTGAATCACTATGATATAAATAGACTTTCTCACACTATAAAATATAACAGTTGTTATCATATTTTATTTCCTTTTCCTGTCATCCAAGAGTAAATGTATAACACAAAAACTAATGTAACTAATCAAACAATATAAAATTGGATAAAGAAGAGAGTAAGCATTTAATTAAAAGGATATTTTAATTATTTTAACTTGAATTTCTTAGAACAACTTCTGTTCACATAGCACAGTATAGCCACTTTTTATGAAATATTCTGTGGCAAAATTGAGCTAGAATAAAACTTTATTATTTAAATCTATGCACATGGGTTTCTAAAAAAGCTGATTATTTTGAAAATCTAGGTTTGTTTTAATATATAACCAGGTAGTGATTTTAAAGTAATGTAACTCATTTCATAAGCTACATAAAAAGATAAATGTAAGTGTCTTAGTCTGGGTTTCCCTGAATGCAAAACCTGAGTCAAAGTTATTGTTAAGAAATTTGAGAATTTGATGCCAGGGAAAAAGACTGAGATTAGGGAAGTGAAAGAGCCAATACAAAGCTATGTTTTCAAGTTGGCCACAGCTATAGTCAATGTGTTGCTTGACTTGGAAGATTTCTAGAGGGCTTTTAAAATGTGTCTCAGAAATATCTCCTCAATGAAAAAAGGGGAGAAAGTTTTATTACATGATTCCTGTTCCCCATTGGTCAAGCACGGCCCCATGGAGCATTAACTGTCTAGCAATTCCAGCTTGTTCATAAGTGATTGCTGACATCATTCCCAGAGGTACCCATCAGTCAGAACATCAAAGGGACCCCTAGGCAGGAAGTGGGCATGCACTGGCTCCAAAATTGTCTAAGCGTATGTAAGCTAGTTGCCAGAGCAATGGATAGAATAAGAGGTGAGGCCACTAGGATTTAAAGTGGTACAAAATAAATATCCACTGCAAAAAGTATCCAATACAAAGATGTTTTTGGCTTACTGTTTGTCTTTCTCTAATGAATTCTCTGATTACTGGAAACCATTGATTATTTTCATTTCTATTCATATTTCCAGCTTAGCAATAATGTATTGTTATCCTTGGGCATGGTTATGTTGTTATTCCTTGTTCATATTCTTCTTTTCTTTCAAAAAACATATTCTGGGTGATTACAGATACTTTGACAGATGTTTTTGCACAACAACAAAAATTACACTAGCAGATTTAGACACATCTCTCTCTCTCTCTCTCTATATATATATATATATATTATATATATATATATATATAAACAAAATAAAACATACAGCTATTTCTTATAGAACATGTCAAAAGAAATTTGCCACTGCTGGAAAAGTGCTTTTATCCCAACATAACTGTCATAAGTAGTCATAAAACCATTGTGTATCACATAACATTCAATGCAAGAGGTTTTTTTGTTTTCCTCCTAATCTTTGAACAGACTATTAAAAGGAAATTACCTAGAGCTGGTATATCAGTTATAATGATGTTACTCTGTTAATTACAGTGCATTTAATTGTGGTCTCTCAAAACTTATGTCTGAGTTCTAACCCCTTGTATCTGTGAATGCGAATGTGACTGTACTTGGACAAAGGTTCTTTGCAGGTATAATTAGTTAAGGATTTCAAGATGAGGTCATCCTGAATTAACTAGGTTGGCCCTAAATCTAATGACAAATGTCCCTATGAAAAGTGAATACAGAGTGAAGAGGAGAAATAGAGGGAGAAACTATATAAAAGGGGAAACAAAGATTAGATATGCAGCCATAAGCCATAGAACACCAAGCATGTTGGCAGTCTCCAGAAAACTAGGAGAGAAGTATAAAAGGAATGTCTCTCAGAAACTTCAGAAGGAACCAACCCTGCCGACACATTGGTTTCTGATTGCTAGCCTCCAGAACTGTGAGAGAATACATTTCTGTACTTTTAAGCCACCCAATTTGTGATAATTTGTTATGGCAGTCCCAGAAAATCAATACATTAGTCAGGAGAAAATGGGTCATGAGTGTTCCAAAAATAATTCCAACTTGCTATGAATGCATTAACACATTTCCTGTTCAATATGCACTACATTAGATGGATCTTCAGGAGGAAATTTGATTGGGCTAGTGAAAAAGTTTACATGGATTTTGTGAACACAATTTGACAAATGGCGGAATTGATGCCTGAGATGGTACAGGGGATGCTCATTTGAATAAAATTGTTTTAAATCCACAGAAAGGTGACTATCAACATATAATTAATGGTCTTCATTGCATTAGACAGAATACCTATGTGCATATATGAATATGTAGATGACCTGAGACTTAAATTTGAAAATTTATTTGAAATTTGAAAGTTTGAAAGAACTTCTCTATTACTTTTTTTGTTTGTTTTTAATCAATCTCTGGCATTTCCCCTGCCTGTCAAGATTTGCAAGGCAATGCAGTCTTTATATTTGTAATATTCACTTTCACAATACTAGTATTATTTATTAACCTTCATTATTAATTGTCCCTGCGAGGATCTTTCAGAAAATGAAAGTGCAATATAAAGAACATAGGGATGTATGTGTACTACTGGCTTGAAAAATGGAAGAGAAGTTGCTTGAGAGGCAGCCAGGCTCGTGACCATTTAAGAATACTGTGCTCTTGGCAAAAGACAGTTCACTTAAGTTCCAATTAATGTTGCTAGTTGTTATCTAATGTCTTCAGGGTTTGTGTGCTCATTAAACTCATTGAATAGTTGTACAAATCTCATCTAAGAATATATTTAATTCATGAAGTTGAACATTCATGCAGATAAGTAACCCATGGCTGATGGACTTCGTACCATCATATACTACAGGTTAATTCTTTTTTGGTACTAACATCAGGAAAGAGAGACAATATTTTCTTTAAAACTAACCACTTATATCACATTTATATGGTTAGCACTCTTTCAAGAGGTTAAAATTATTTCCATGTTCTCCGATAATTCTCAGCAACGACCTTCTACATTTTGTACTAGGTTCAAACAGAACTTATTTGTAGCTATTTGTATCTGTGCTTATGTTGTCTTTTATATATGATCTATTCTGAGAGATTTTGAACTGTGATTGGTTTTTCTAAAGGAGGTCACAAGTAGAGCCTCCCTGTTATGCTTGGTTGGTTATGCTCTGATAGTGTGAGGGTGAGACTGGGTCAGTTTTCTTGATTCATTGTCCTCACCCCACCAGGTAAACATACATCCAGAGCTCATTTACCTATGAGCAACCAAGTGAGAGCATAATTGCTGCTTGTTGGTGATTTGATACTATCTCAGAAGACAAACTGTGTGGGCCAGAAGAGAATAAGCGAGAGATAAATTCTGGGGAAAATTGCACTTAGAAATACCAAATCTTCATCTTTGAAGCTGCTGCATCATTTCAGTGCCTTATTAAGTTATTTAAGATTCCACAGCTCAGCAGAAATGAAGGCAACTTATACATTATTTCACCTGGCTAAATACCAAAATTATATTATTATCATGATACATGTGAGATCATAGGTGCTAATTATCAGTATAAATGATTTGGGTATAGTTGTCAAAGTTTGACTTTAAATTTAAGGCTTCATCCAAGTTTCAAATCTCCTCTTTATTACTCATGTAAACTTATAGGAAATTGTCTTTCTTCATCCTCAGAGGGTAAATATACTCCCTACATCACAATATTTTTATAAGGATTAAATTAGATAATCAGTATAAAATACTTAGGTCAGAGCCAAGAGCATGGTAAGTGCTTAATAAATAGTACTCATTATAGAAATGTTCTGCACTTTTTATTGTACTTGAGAATCAGAAGGGAAAAAAGGGGGTTATTTTATTTCAATCAGAGCAAAAGTATTTTTAAAATATAAATTCATAGCATGCATACTATGGCTGTTTTTAACCCACCAGGGATTTCCCCTTAGACTCAATACAATCCAGTTTCCTTATAGGGGTGTGCAATATCCTACATGATTTGAACCCGGCTTCAGTTCTTTCACTCTCCTACTGACTTAGCAAGTTCCAGTACACTGACCTCCTGTTGCCTCTCAAGTGCATCCATCAAGAGTATCGCTCTCTCAGCTCCTTAGCACTAGTCATTCCCACGGCCTGGGTATTTGCATGGCTGGCTTCTTAATATTCTTCAGCTCTGTGCTGAATTATCATATTCTCAGATAGGTCTTTACTATAAAACCTATTTAAGTAGAACCTCCTCTGTCTTCTTAGTTTGCATATATATTCACAAGTCTGGCTTATGGATATAAATAGCTGCTTCCCTTACTCCAATGAGATATCCATGAGATCAAGGATATTGTTTGGTTTGCTGCTTTAGCCTCAGCAACTATAATAGTGCATTTCACATAGTAGAAATAATATATGTTGAATAAATGAGTGCATTCTGAATCTATCATTCTTTTTCCAAATTTCTACTTGATATGTATTTTATAGTCATAAAAGAAGCCAAGATGATTAACTGTGTAGGATGGTATTGTGGTATAATGGAGAGAGAATCCTAGGCATTGAATGTGAATTATTGGGTTTGAATGCCACTTAGCCCTCATACCAGCCATAGAGTTTGGACAAATCTGTTTCCTCATTTAGGCAGATTCTGAAGGCTACAACACTCTTAAGGCTGTGTTGATTCTGAAGGGTTAAGTGGTGAAATATTTAAAAATAACTATTAATAGCACGGGGCCTATAATGCTTAGAAACTTAATAAGAAAAGGATATATAGATATATGAAATAAAAGATTAAAGAATATATTTTTGGTGTGCTTACGATCACAAGAGTATTGCAAAGCATGCACTATTTTGACCCTCACTTTACAGATGAGGAGACTGGGATTTACAGAAGTTTACTAATCAAAGATATGATTAAATGTTTTACTTTAAAATTTGTATTCCTATAAGGTAGGTTATTATATTAGGATTCTCCAGACAAACAAACCAACAGGATGTATAGATATAGATATAAATATAGATATAGATATAGATATAGATATAGATACATGAGAGGAAATCTGTTATGGGAATTATTTCACATGATTATGGAATCCAAATCCCACATCTGTCACCTGCAAGCTGGAGATCCAAGAAAGCTAGTGGTGTAATTTAGCCTGAAGCTTCAGGCCTTAAAACAGGAGCAGATGTCCAATGCCAGGAGAAAATTGATGTCCCAATCTCAAGAAGAGGGAGAATGTGCCCTTCCTCTGCATTTTGTTCTTGGCAGGCCCTCAATGGATTGGGTGATGCCCTCCTACATTGATGAGGACAGATCTTCTTCGCTTAGTCCGCTAATTTGCCAATCTTTTCCAGAAACTCCTCCACAGACATGCCCAGAAATAATGTTTAATGAGCTTATAGATGTAAGTTGAGGAATTATATTTCAATGTGTTTAAAGACTGGACAGGGAACAATGTGGCATCTCATACTCCTTTCATGCTTTTCTCTATATTGTCTTTTTATTTGTAAAGGGAGACTTTTTTACCAAGTTTTTTGATCAGTTGGAAAGTTTAATTATTAAGGAAAAACTGTGAGTGAACTGACATCTTTGAATGAATGTTTCAATTTTTAAGTTTTAAAGCAGAAGTTAAAGCTGAATTAACCTGTTCAGATAAAAGCAGTTAATGGATAATTTGAGCATTAACTGGATAAATGATTCAGAGGGACTGCAAAATACCCAGAAAACCTTCTCATATGAGAGACCTGATTTAGAATCTATCTGTTTAGCATCAACTCATCAAATGTGTACTGGAGGAAGTTCTCGTGTAATAACCACTAGTTTATATGGGAAGGTCTTAAAAGTTTTAGAGACCATCTTCTGATTGAACTAAGCATTTGTTAGACTCTGACATGGTTTCATCCTCAAAACTGACTATGTTTTGTAACTTTTTAAAGATCATGAAGGGTGACTAGCTCCAGAAGTTTGGATATATTCAGAGAATCACTTCCACAGACCTGGAAAAACCCAGCATTGAATAAGTGGCATATAGTTGCTGCTGATTTAAAAGCATATATGAAAATTAACTGAGTCAGTTTCTGTAATCTGAATAGCTAGGATATGATAACAGAAGGCAGTCCCCCACCAAGATGATAATATGAATATCATAGGACCCTTTAAACAATGGCCCAGTAATAACGGATACTACTAGGGTACAAGTTTGCTAAGGGGACTGAAAATGTGCCCTTGGCCATCCGACGCTTCTTAGTACACTCTGATTTCCCCAGTTTGTTCCTGTGTTGTTAAAACATTTTATTTGCTCAAGGAATAAAAATGTCTTTAATAATTAATCAATAGTTGGGTCTTCGCATGCAATAAATCTGTGTGTCCGTGGCACTGCATAGCTTCTACTTTAATCCATGTCAAACCATCAACTTTGCTGGGACTAGCATAACAATCTCCTAACTAGTCTTTCTGCTTTTGCTCAAAGGTTCTGTAAACCAAAAAGTGATGGAGGCAGATCTCCATCGATTTAGAGGATGATTTTTGCCAAGGTTGAGGCTGTGCCCAGAGAAAATAAACACAAGTCACAGTAGGACCTGCGTCCTGTGTGTTTTCCAAAGAGAGGGTTTTGGGAACTTCAATATTTAAAGGGGAGAGAGCAAGATGGAGGGGACAGAAAAATAAAAGGAGGGAGAGTAAAGAAATGAGGCAAGTGCTTACATTCTCATGTGGCTCTGATGTGTGCTGCATGAATGTACATTTTACTTGTGAAAAGAAAAGAGTGGAGGAGAAGTCAATTATGTATTCATCTAGCACTCAGTAAATCTACATTTTACATAAGACAAACAAGCATGTGAAATTGCAGCTGCTTGCAAATAAAAGGAAGGCAGTATTTTCATGACTCAGTTCCCATAAGCCTGACTTTTCCCCTTGGCATAGTGAGTTTGGGTTCCTGATATTTTATTTTCCTTTCACAGTCTCTTATAATCCAATTCTTTTTTATCCAAAAAAACATTCATGTGGAGGTGGTATGAAGTCTGTCTTATCCCTGGAGCAAATGAAGTCCTCTAAAAGCACAGAAATATATTAGGGTTTCAGAGGGTATCCAAAGAATTTGAGTGAGGCATACTTCTCCCTCTCCTTCCCAATGTCTTCTTGCATTTAGAATGGTATTCACTTATTTCTCTATCTTCATATCCTAATATTTTCTTCCTTGATTAACATTCACCAGGTATACTGGCTTCTTTCTGGTTCTCCCTTGAATAAGCAAAACTCATTTGTGCCTCCGGGCCTTTGCCCTTGCTGACAAGCTTTGTATTTTTGAAGAAATATCTAACTTGAGGGACTGCAAGGATAATACCTTCTCTTATTCAGACTCATTTACATGTTCCTTCTTCAGAAAGATCTTTCTTGAATATCTAAACGGATAATTATTTATTCCATTACACATTTTTATTTTCTTTGTAAATTTTATTGATATTTTAAATTATATTATTTATTTTACTTATTTTTATATGTTTATATTCTGTTTCTCAGCACTAAAATGTAAACTCTAAAAGGACAAGGATTTTTACCTGTCTTATTTATAGCTATATTCTCAACTTCTGGAATCACAACAGGAAATCAGTACAAATATGTTGAATGATTAAATTATCTTCCAATATTAAAAAAAAAGAAAGTTTTTTTTTCAGGTATCTAAATTATATTTTTGTACACTATAGATACTACCATGCTCTTCCAATAATGCTGTCTATATATGCAGTGGTCTCCAAAGACTAGAAAGGCCTGAACCTCTTAATTTTTTGGGTCCCAGTATGTTTAAAAGTTAATCAATGGCAAATGATAGTAATAAAAAATGGGTTATTTGTGCTGTATTAAGAAATTAACACTTTACTCTTACAAAAAAAATTACAGTGACATTATTTAAAATAATGTCAAAGTTTACATTTAAGGCTAGTGAGCTCAAGGCCAAATGGCCCTCCTGCATTTCCCTGTTACAATGAGTAGTAAAGCACATCAAGGCATTATGGAAGTGAATAATTCAGAGGAATTTGGTGGTTTTGCCTTCACCAAAAAGAAGAACCAAGATACAGTTTTCTCTCATTAGTAGAAAAAACTTCTCAGAAATTAGTTGTTCAAAAACAGATTTGCCTCAGGAGGAATGAATTTCTAGACTTTGAGGCATCCAAACCACATCCAACAGCTATTTGTTACAGGTATAATGGTAAGTAGAAAAGCATACGCTAGGTGCTTGACTGGGATGGCTTTTAAATTTTCTGCCTGTGCTGAGAGTCTATTAATCTAAAATTGGCTTACATGTCAAACAAATATCAAATTTACCTTATAATTTTTAACACTTTAACACTGGCTTAATGTCAAACTTCCTTAATGTCAAACATATATGACCCCTTGATTCTATTAGTGGATTCCTTCAAATCCTGTGTGTGCTATTTTTAAAAATGGCATACTGCTGGGACTTTATTATTTAATCTAGTAAAATATATAGCATCTTCAAAGTTTACAGTGTGTTTCCATAGCAACAATATACACACTGCCAATCATTCTCTGTTTCTACTCTTAACAGAACAAAACTTTGAATGTTTTACTATTCTTATTTATTGGGTATATAAAGCAAAAACTCTGATGTATTTTGATAACTATATCCAATTGATAGTTAAAATTTTTCATATTATTAATTATTCCTCTATGCCAGGGATGGGCACACTTTTGCTGTAAAGGGCCTAATAGTAAATATTTTAGGCTTTGTGGGGCATTTAGACTGTTTTATAACTGTTATACAGCAAAAGCAGCTATAGACAATATGCAAGTGAAGGAGCATGTCTGCATTCCAATAAAACTGAATTTACAGAAACTGGCAGAAGATTGGATTTGGCCAGCGGGCTAAACCCTGCTCTATCTATGCTATCATTTTAATAACGTATTACATAGTATTCAATTGTTTTGTAAATCCCAATATATTTGTTCTTTGATTGAACATTTGAATTGTTTTCTCTTTTTCACTTTTAAAAGTAAAAATAAAAATGTCTGGCCAGACACATTGGCTCACACCTGTAATCCCAGCACCTTGGGAGGCCGAGGTGGGTGGATCACCTGAGGTCAGCAGTTCAAGATCAACCTGACCAACATGGCAAAACCCTGTCTCTACTAAAAATACAAAATTAACCGGGCATAGTGGTGGGTACCTGTAATCCCAGCTGCTTGGCAGACTGAGACGAGAGAATCACTTGAACCTAGGAGGCAGAGGTTGCAGTGAGCTGAGATCGTGCCATTGCACTCCAGCCTGGGCAACAAGAGTGAAACTCTGTCTCAAATAATAATAATAATAATAATGTTAAAAAATAAAAACATAAAAATAAAAATGTTCTTTTAGTAAAATAGTTTGGTTTGCAAAATATTATGCTTCCAAGATTGATTCAGGTTGCTGAGGGTTGTTCACTAATTCTCACTGCTACATAGTGTTACCTCGCATGCCTACGCAGCAACTAATTTAATCCTACTTTTGTTGAATACCTGCATTGTTTCTCACTATTGCAAAGGATGCTGCTATGAACATTCCCTACATCCCTTTTGGTAGCTGTAAATAAAGGTATAATCTATATGTTAGTTGCTGTATTGTAGGCTATGCCTATGTTCACTATCATCTAGTGTTACCCAACAGTTTCCAAAGTGGTTGTACCAGTTTACATTCTTCCCAAACATGAAGGTGAGTTCTAGTTGCTCCATATTTTTAACCATACATGGTAGGCACTATTCATTTCAGCCATTCTGGTATTGAAATATGATTTTAATTTTTATTTCCCTCAGGACTAAAGGTGGCGAATGGCTTTTTAATGTTTATTCATCATTTGACCATTATATGTTGTGAGGTGCCTGTTCAAGTCTTTTGCCCATCTTTCTATCAGATGACCTGTCTTTAGTTGATTAGTAAAAGTCCTTTATATATTCTAGGTATAGTTTTTTCCCGGATATATATATTTCAAGTATTACCTCTCACTCTGTGGCTTGTACTTTCTTTATTTCAATAGCATTTTTGATAGACATTCTTAACTTTAATGTAATTCAATTTGCCATTTTTAAAAATATTAAGGTTTGTTATGCTATTCTGTTCAAAATATCTTTTTCTAATCCACGTTACTGAGATATTCTTTTTTATTGTCATTTAAAATATTTAAATTAAATCTGTTTGTTTTGTTTTGTTTTTGAAAGAGAGTCTCACTCTGTTTCCCAGGCTGGAGTGCAGTGGTACAATCTCAGTTCACCAAAACCTCCAACTCCTGGGTTCAAGCAATTCTCCTGCCTCAGCCTCCCAAGCAGCTGGGATTACTGACATGTGCCACCACACTCGGCTAATTTGCATTTTAGTAGAGATGGGGTTTCTCCATATTGGTCAGGCTGGTCTTGAACTCCCGACCCCCCAGTGATCCACCCGCCTTGGCCTCCCAAAGTACTGAGATTACAGGCATGAGCCACTATGCCTGGCCCTGTTTTGTTTTATTTGTACATTTAAATCTACAATTCATACTTCATTAATTTTTTTGACATAGTGTTAGCTTGGGATCAAGATACTTTTCCTCCCATTCAGTTGACCCACCACCATTATTTAAAAAAAATAAATAAACAAATTATGACTGCATTGCTGTTTTCTTTATCATAAATAATGTTATCTTAAGACTGTATGTCTGTTACTCTATATGTTGTAAATGTTTATTCTAGTTTATCAAGATTATTTACCTTTTTTTTTTTCTTGAGATGGAGTCTCACTCTGATGTCCAGGTTGGAGTGCAGCGGCGTGATCTCAACTCACTGCAACCTCCACCTCCTGGGTTCAAGTGATTCTCCCACCTCAGCCTACTGAGTAGCTGGGATTACAGGTGTGCACCACCCTGCCTAGCTAATTTTTGTATTTTTAGTAGAGATGGGGTTTCACCATGGTGGCTAGGCTGGTTTCTAACTCGTGACCTCAGGTGATCTGCCCACCTTGCCCTCCTAAAGTGCAGGGATTACAAATGTGAGCCACCACACATGGCTATAATTTATCTTCAAATTGATTGTGCATGTATGTTTCCACATAGAATAGTTTTAAACTTTAATTAATACAAATAAAACCCAGTTTTTTTCATTATGGTGTCTGCCTTCAAAAAATTTTCCTGTAATAAGGAATACAAATATCTGTTCAAATGTGCCTTTATAAAGTTTCTTTTTTATTCTTTAAATATATCTTGGGCAAATTACCAAAACACGAGGTTACATTTGGTCAATAAAAAGTATTACATTTGAACTAGATTTTGCTTCTTTTATTTCCTTTCCTCTGTCAATCTAGAACAAGTGTGAGAGTGTATACTGCTTGAAGTGGCCAGGGCTCAGTGTATGTGCATGCACCCAGCTTACACGTGTGAAAGGGGGAAATGTGTTGTCTGGTTCTGGGACAGCTCTTCCTCCAAGTCTCTTCAAAAATATTCCAGTGCACTGAAGTTCAGTGGAAGAAAGTGTTTCTTAATTTAGCTTCCATCTGAGTCTTCTCTTTGGTGTCAGTGATTCTTTGCATAACAATGGAGTGACAGGAGTACAAACACTGATCTGTAATAGAGTCTGTATGTGAATTATTTTGTACCTTTACACTGAAACATTCTCTGTCATGAATATCTAGCCCCATTCAAGTCCAGCTCTGGTTCTTCACATCTTCCTTCATCTGTCAGCTCCTGTACCAGCTGTATAAAATGTAGTCTCTTACTGTTAAGAGTCTGTTCTCCATTTGAACATTCTTCTTGGTGGAGGGTGAAGTTTGAGGAGATATACTAGAAAGATGACTTAGGATCAGCTACTTGCCCCTTGACCTACAAGATACAAACACTGCTTACCATGCCAAATAGTGGACTCTCAGCTCTTTTATTTATTCCTGCTTCTTCTTTTCACAGCGGAATCTCTTCAAGATTCTCTTTTCTTATGTATAGATTGGTTTGAGCCGAATAGGATCAGATACAGGAGCAGTGGCAGTTTATCATGTCTGCGACTTAACATTTGTCCTTCTTGACAAAACAGAATAAAACAAAACACATGGTATTGTATTATTGAAAACACCCCAATCTCTAAGAGTAATATTCTGAAGTGGCAGTATCCTTCTCCATCACCAATGGGAATGACCTGTTATCAGGAGCAGTGCAGTCTCTACAAAGCTGAAAATTCTCTCTCCTCAGTCCTGCATTATTTAAACTGGATGTGGTGATGTGGGAGTTGATTGTGGATGGGCTATTTTTGTCAAGTCTGTACATATAACAGCAACTTCATGCTAATTGTTGACCACGCCATTAGAATGCTTGAATAAGTAGCGTTTCTTTATCCTAGTTTTGGACATTAGTGTGTAATTGTCATAAAACAGGGAAAATCATACTAAATATATTTATTTGCATGATATAATGAAAATCTAAAAAAGAAGTTATGCTCTGTGCCCTTCTGTCTTCTGTATTTTTACTCATGCAGTTCTATCTCTCACCTTCTCAACCTCTCTCACTACCTTGCCTTGATAACTCTGACACACCCCTCATAGCTTAGCTTAGATAACACCTCCTGTAAGAAAACATTGCCTGACCCTCCTCTCCGTCATCATTTTAAGGTTAGGTGTTTATTGGTAGTCCCTCTACTGTCATCTACTGATTCATGTAGTTCCTCTATTACAGTGCCTCACGTTGTATTTCTTGCCCGTTTAAAAGTCTGCTTTTCCACTGAGGACCAGCTATATCACTGGCATGGTTCAGTGCAAAATGTAAATGGTGGAGGAGTCTTATTCAAAAATTATTAAGAAATTTAAGCTGACAACATCAGAGAATTAAACCACAGGCAGATCCCTTCTGAGCATGGATCCCTGTGCATGTTTGTGAAGCTAGTCTTTTCTCTACTGAATATATTCTTCCCAGGGAACTACATCATTCTGTAGGATTTATTGTATCCCTGTAACTATCATGATACCTAATATACAGTTTATGCTTAAATTAATAGGAAGATGTTATCACTTTTAGCATATTTAATTACATAAGAAGGACTAAATAGAATAGAAAAAACTTGAATAATGATAGGATGTCAACATTCAGGGAAAGAACAAATGTGAAAAATACATGAAAGGTTAAGTGGGAGTTGAATAATGAGAACACAGGGACACAGGGAGGGTAACATCACACACTGGGCCTGTCAGGGGCTGGGGGGCTAGGGGAGGGATAACATTATGAGAAATACCTAATGTAGATGATGGGTTGATGGGTGCAGCAAACCACCATGGCACGTGTATACCTATGTAACAAAACAGCACGATCTGCACAGGTATCCCAGAACTTAAAGCATAATAATTAAAAAAAATACATGAACGTTAAGAGGTAGAGCAAAAGGTTAATGGAAAATGCAAAAATTGAAGTAGTGCTTGAAATATTAAAATACACTTAGGGAAACAGAGGAAGACAAACTTTATAAAGGACAGTATCATAAAAAGGGACTATTTTTAAAGCAGTGTGTAGAGAGAAATTTATAGCACTAAATGCCCACAAGAGAAAGCAGGAAAGATCTAAAATTGACACCCTAACATCACAATTAAAAGAACTAGAGAAGCAAGAGCAAACACATTCAAAAGCTAGCAGAAGGCAAGAAACAACTAAGATCAGAGCAGAACTGAAGGAGATAGAGACACAAAAATCCCTTCAAAAAATCAATGAATCCAGGAGCTGGCTTTTTGAAAAGATCAACAAAATTGATAGACCCCTAGCAAGAGTAATAAAGAAGAGAAGAGAGAAGAATCAAATAGATGCAATAAAAATGATAAAGGGGATATCACCACCAAGCCCACAGAAATACAAACTACGATCAGAGAATACTATAAACACCTCTGCACAAATAAACTAGAAAATCTAGACGAAATGGATAAATTCCTGGACACATACATCCTCCCGAGACTAAACCAGGAAGTAATTGAATCTCTGAATAACAGGCTCTGAAACTGAGGCAATAATTAATAGCTTACCAACCAAAAAAAGTCCAGGACCAGATGGATTTACAGCCAAATTCTACCAGAGGTACAAGGAGGAGCTGGTACCGTTCCTTCTGAAACTATTCCAATCAATAGAAAAAGAGGGAATCCTCCCTAACTCATTTTATGAGGCCAGCATCATCCTGATACCAAAGCCTAGCAGAGACACAACAAAAAAAGAGAATTTTAGACCAATATCCCTGATGGACATCAATGCAAAAATCCTCAATAAAATACTGGCAAACCAAATACAGCAGCACGTTGAAAAGCTTATCCACCATGATCAAGTGGGCTTCATCCCTGGGATGCAAGGCTGGTTCAACATACGCAAATCAATAAACGTAACCCAGCATATAAACAGAACCAAAGACGAAAACCACATGATTATCTCAATAGATGCAGAAAAGGCCTTTGACAAAATTCAACAGCACTTCATGCTAAAAACTCTCAATAAATTAGGTACTGATGTCATCAATAAGAGCTATTTAGGACAAACCCACAGCCAATATCATACTGAATGGGCAAAAACTGGAAGCATTCCCTTTGAAAACCCGCACAAGACAGGGATGCCCTCTCTCACTACTCCTTTTCAACATAGTGTTGGAAGTTCTGGCCAGGGCAATCAGGCAGGAGAAGGGAATAAAGGGCATTCAATTAGGAAAAGAGGAAGTCAAATTGTCCCTGTTTGCAGATGACATGATTGCATGTCTAGAAAACCCCATTGTCTCAGCCCAAAATCTCTGTAAGCTGATAAGCAACTTCAGTAAAGTCTCAGGATACAAAATCAATGTGCAAAAATCACAAGCATTCTTATACACCAATAACAGACAAACAGAGAGCCAAATCATGAGTGAACTCCCATTCACAATTGCTTCAAAGAGAATAAAATACCTAGGAATCCAACTTACAAGGGATGTGAAGAACCTCTTCAAGGAGAACTACAAACCACTGCTCAATGAAATAAAAGAGGACACAAACAAATGGAAGAACATTCCATGCTCATGGACAGGAAGAATCAATATCGTGAAAATGGCCATACTGCCCAAGGTAATTTATCGATTCAATGCCATCCCCATCAAGCCACCAATGCCTTTCTTCACAGAATTGGAAAAAACTACTTTAAAGTTCATATGGAACCAAAAAAGAGCCCGCATCACCAAGTCAATCCTAAGCCAAAAGAACAAAACTGGAGGCATCACGCTACCTGACTTCAAACTATACTATAAGGGTACAGTAACCAAAACAGCATGGTACTGGTACCAAAACAGAGATATAGATCAATGGAACAGAATAGAGCCCTCGGAAATAATACCACACATCTACAACCATCTGATTTTTGACAAACCTGATGAAAACAAGAAATGGGGAAAGGATTCCCTATTTAACAAATAGTGCTGGGAAAACTGGCTAGCCATATGTAGAAAGCCGAAACTGGATCCCTTCCTTACACCTTATACAAAAATTAATTCAAGATGGATTAAAGACTTAAATGTTAGACCTAAAACCATAAAAACCCTAGAAGAAAACCTAGGCGATACCATTCAGGACATAGGCATGGGCAAGGACTTCATGTCTAAAACACCAAAAGCAATGGCAACAAAAGCCAAAGTTGACAAATGGGATCTAATTAAACTAAAGAGCTTCTGCACAGCAAAAGAAACTACCATCAGAGTGAATAGGCAACCTACAGAATGGGAGAAAATTTTTGCAATCTACTCATCTGATAAAGGGCTAATATCCAGAATCTACAAAGAACTCAAACAAATTTACAAGAAAAAAACAACCCCATCAAAAAGTGGGCAAAGGATGTGAACAGACACTTCTCAAAAGAAGGCATTTATGCAGCCAACAGATGCATGAAAAAATGCTCATCATCACTGGCCATCAGAGAAATGCAAATCAAAACCACAATGAGATATCATCTCACACCAGTTAGAATGGTGATCATTAAAAAGTCAGGAAACAACAGGTGCTGGAGAGGATGTGGAGAAATAGGAACACTTTTACACTGTTGGTGGGAATGTAAACTACTTCAACCATTGTGGATGACAGTGTGGCGATTCCTCAGGGATCTAGAACTAGAAATACCATTTGACCCAGCCATCCCATTACTGGGTATATACCCAAAGGACTAGGAATCATGCTGCTATAAAGACACATGCACACGTATGTTTATTGCGGCACTACTCACAATAGCAAAGACTTGGAACCAACCCAAATGTCCAACAATGATAGACTGGATTAAGAAAATGTGGCACATAATACACCATGGAGTACTATGCAGCCATAAAAATGATGAGTTCATGTCCTTTGTAGGGATGTAGATGAAGCTGGAAACTATCACAAGGACAAAAAACCAAACACTGCATGTTCTCACTCATAGGTGGGAATTGAAAAATGAGAACACGTGGACACAGGAAGGGGAAAATCACACACTGGGGCCTGTTGTCGGGTGGGGAAACGGGGGAGGGATAGCATTAGGAGATATACCTAATGTAAATGATAAGTTAATGGGTGCAGCACACCAACATGGCACATGTATACATATGTAACAAACCTCTACGTTGTGCACATGTACCCTAGAACTTAAAGTATAATAAAAAAATATATATAAATAAAGTAAAATAATTTCTATTTTTCCTTGTGAAAAAAAAGGGACTAGAGAAAGTGACAGATTATTTTGAAAGTCATAAACATCAAATGAACATACCATTTCAAAGTTGTACTCCTATTGATATTTAAACAGATAAATTCATGACTAAATGAATGAATTAGACAACTAATAGGCTTGTTTTTTAAAAATAAAATTTTCTATGCGGCAGACAAGGGACTTAAGTAATATTGTCTCCTAGCAGACAATTATTATTTTAATTCACATTTAGAGTATGAAAACTCAAAAGGTCCCCTTCCAGTACACTTTTCTCCATTGAACTTCTTATTCCCCTTCTTGCCTGTGTCCAGGTTTTCTCCTAGAGATTACCTTTTCCCTGCAATATTTCACTGCCATTTCTAGATTCAGGTTACATTTTTCTGTTTCTGGGTCAAGAATAGATTCTACTACATCAAAAAGAATTTCTAGCTGGAACATACGCCTTGCATTTTTCCTTGTGTTGACTTGAATCATACTTTATTTTCAATCTAGCAGTTCTGAGTATGAATAAATAATTCTCCATCATAACAAAAAGTATCCCAAATTTATTGTTCGAGATAGTGATATATTAGGAGTAAATAAGAATTTCTTTTTTCTTTTTTTCTCCTCTGAAGGCCGTTTCTATTAAAAATGAATTGCCTTGAACTTTAGGTTGATTTTATTATAATAAGATTTGACCCATTTCTTTCAATATTTTGCTGGCTTCTAAAGGAACTACCTTGAGCAGCAGCTATGGTGATTGTTATGGGGTGTCTAGTCAGGCTAATTGCATTAGAACGTCTACTGTATCATTTATTCTCTGTGTCTTAAGTTACAAAACTTCTCTCTGTATCACTTATCTTCTATTAAATTGAGTTAAAAATATAGCTAATATTAATAGTACCTACTTCATAGGTTTGCCATGAGAAATGAGTTAAGGCATATATTTTTTGACAAATAAGCATCAATAAATGTAAGCTATTATTATGATCATCTCGAAGAATTTTCTTTTGTATTTTGTTCACCTGCCCAAGAACATAAAGCACCTCTCCTATAGAAAGCACATGGCTCTGTGCAGGCCTTTTCAGCAGCTATGGTTCATTAATCTCATGTCACTTTATTCTCTCAAGTGGCCCTTGGGGTCCTGCCAGCAAGTGTCTCACTGACCTTGATTTACCGTGCTGTCCCTGCCTTTCAAAATGCCTTTATTCCTAGTACACTCTTCCTCCCCCAATGTGTGCTTCTGCCTTTGTGAGTTTCTTACAAATAATTTGGATCTCAAGAAAGTCTTTTCTGAATTCCATCTTTCATCTGACTCAGAGGTTTTTAACTTCTGGTCCTCTCAGCCTTTGAATTGTATTTATGTACACTTAATAACATTTTATATATATATATATATATAATATGAAACGTCATATATGTAGGGGTGTGTGTGTGTTTATGTGTATATATATATACAGTCACTAGATATACACTAGATTTTTATTTTTATTATTTTCTTTTTGAGACAGAGTCTAACTTTGTTGCCCAGGCTGGAGTGCAGTGGTGTGATCTCTGTCCACCGCAACCTCTGCCTCCCAGATTCAAGTGATTCTCTTGCCTCAGCCTCCCAAGTAGCTGGGATTATAAGCACCTGCCACCATGCCCAGCTAATTTTTGCATTTTTAGTATATATAGTATATACATTTATATATGTATATATAGTATATACATTTATATATTATATATAGTATATACATTTATATACGTATATAGTATATACATTTATATATTATATATAGTATATACATTTATATACGTATATAGTATATACATTTATATATGGATATATAATTTTTCATCTATTTTCATGAAATAAATTTTCATGTCATTGAGAGAAAACGTGTCTTTCTTTCATCATCTCCAATCTATTGCAGAGCCTATTCCAGAGGATACTTATAAAGTATTATAAAGTAGCTTAAGATATACATAGAGAATTACTATCAATTTTTTACATTAGATATTACAATTTCTTTTAGCAAACAAAGTCTAACCTTAACATTCCTAAATATTATGCAGTAACCATGAAAGCAAATTACTGAACTTTAAGCAGTTTACAAGATTATTACACTTTTGATTTTGCAGATAGGGTAAAAAGCCACAGAGAGTACAACCGTTTTAACTATCTGGTGGCTTCTGTTCCAGAGCCTTATCTCATAACGCTAAGGAGATCTTTGTTTTTTCCATATCAAGTCTACTTTTCTCTTGAATCCACTAGTTCACACTCAACAAATGAATGGGCATTAAGTCAGAAATTACCATGACTAAAACATGGTCTCATTGAACTGTTTAGACTGTGACTGATAAATCTCACAGGTTGCTGGAAAATATTAATTTCAGGAAACTGCTGTTATATAAATTACCCCATTGTTGTATCCTGAATGGATTTCCAGTTGATAGCTAATTCCTCTAATGACTCATTCCAATTATTAATGCAGTTGTCTACCTAATAGAAGATTCATCTCTAAAATGGCAAATCTTGCCTCAGGATAAGAGCCTTAGAGGGTAAAGTGGCTATACTTCCAAAGAAGAAATAGATGCTATTTATCTACTAGTTCAAGTCTGGAGAATAATGAAATTGTTACTTGTAAAAGCTATTTCAACAAAAAGTCATCAGCTCTACTTTATTAGTTTAATGTATGTAAAATTATAACTGTAATAGAGTATCTTAAAATTTATTGACCTGCTCAACATAAAGGTCAACATTAAACTTACTGAAATGATTGAACATATTATAGTCTAAAGATCAGGTAGCTTTGAAATTCCTCAGCAAAGTGGTATTTATATTTGTGTTTGAGTATATTCTATTTAAAAATACATATTTGCTGAGCGTCTACCAGCTGTCAAATATCGAACAAGGAGTCAGAAAAGCAAAGTAGGAGTAATACGACCTTCAAAAATCTTGCAATGTAGTGAGAAAGGTAAATAGTTCAAGACATTTAATATATGAAAAAAACACAGGATATAAGAATTAAAATGAGGTTATTTGAGACCACAGAGGACAAACATTTAGTACAGTTTTGAAGGTACTGTTGCTGCAGAAAAACTTTGTGTTATTAACCAGAGGTAATGTCTTGCCACTTCTACCATTGATTCTGTGCTCTAATTCACTATACCGCAGTAGTGACAAGAACCAAGCCGAAGGATTGCTAGATGATGTTGAATTACTTTTTTATGACAGAGGAGGGCTCAGCCCCACCTCACACATTTCTGTTGCCATGGATTTCAAATTAAATGTTTCCCGATCAAAGCATATACAACCTTGTTCTATTCATCATCATTTTACACACAGGCAACAGCACACATCTTTGATCTCTGTTGCTTGTGACAGCAGATGAGCTGAGCATGAGTGATTAGAAAACACCACCTGCTCAGTGCTTAATACAAAGGAAAAATTGCGGCTGTGCTGTTTGGAATGGAAATTCATTCGTGTAAGATCAGTATGTCACTTATATTCCCAACCACGAAAAGTGTAAGTTACTGAGTGTGTGGGATAAAATATTGTGTGACAGATACCTGTTTTCTCTTTAAGAATTTCCCTCTGAAGATGTCAAGAACAGTGTGACTGATGAGACCACTATAGGTCTTTCTCTAGACTTCAACAGTTGCTGTTTAGAGCATAAAAATAACAGTAGTTGTTTTGAAAGTAACAACGTATCAATAAAATGCATGAGGTCCCAAAAGGTGGCCAGTACTCAATTGTGATCTAAGGCTGTTCTGATGGAAAGAAGGGGAGAAAAGATGGTTACCAACTCCAAACCCTGAAATGTTTCATTTAAGTCTCCATGTAGAACTGAGGAACACAAATCATGTGGATTTGCTATAATTTTTTAGCAAAGACAGTTCAAGGGAACCATTAAACTGCAAATAAACAGAGAAAGTACTCAGCGTAATCACATTAGATAGATAGCAAGATACAGTTTTGTCTGCCTCTTCCATCTTCCAGCTTGCCTCACTCTTCTCCACTTAAATTTCTCATTTTACTCAGTAATCTCTTCCAGATTTCCATGTCAGTTCTCCAGATGGTTCTTAATGTCATACAGTTGTATTTGAATAGCAGTTTGTTGTTTCCTTAGGACGTACGATAGAAATCTGACCTTACTAAAATTTTAACAGTATGCACAGGTTTATTGTTGTAAGAAAGCAGATCAGATGCTACCGAGACTCAAATCTAAAAATAATTCAAAAATAAGTAATCTGTTTTCTGGTCCTTTGACCACCAGTTTAACCCTCATAGTAATTTTATGAACTCGGTATCTGTGGTAGGTAGAATTTAAATAGGGTCCCCAGGGTTCCTACCCCTTGGTGTTCATGCTGTATGTAATTTCCTCCCTGACGTGTGAGCAGGACTCATAAATAAAATGTAATATTACTCCCATGATTACTTTATGTAGCAGGAGGAATTTTACAGACGAAATTAATGTTCCTTTTAGTTGACTTATAACTTAATCATAAGGGAGATTATCCAGGGTGGGACTGTCCCCATTAAGGGAGATGTTCAAGAAATTTTAAGCGTGATAGGTTCTTCTGCTGGCCTTAAAGGAGCAAAGCGCTACTTTGTACAGGGAATGATTGGTGCATCTAGGAGCTGAGAATGGCTCCTGCTTGACAGCAAGCAAACAAGAAAATGAGGCCGGGAGCGGTGGCTCACGCCTGTAATCCCAGCACTTTGGGAGGCCGAGGCGGGTGGATAACGAGGTCAGGAGATCGAGACCATCCTGGATAACACGGTGAAACCCCGTCTCTACTAAAACTACAAAAAATTAGCCGGGCATGGTGGTGGGCACCTGTAGTCCCAGCTACTTGGGTGGCTGACGCAGGAGAATGGCGTGAACCCGGGAGGCGGAAACTGCAGTGAGCCGAGATCGATCGCGCCACTGCACCCCAGCCTGGGCGACAGAGTGAGACTCTGTCTCAAAACAAAAAAGAAGAAGAAAAAGAAAATGAGAACCTCAGCCTTCGCCACCGCAAATAACTAAATTCTGCTAGAACAAGTGACTTTGGAAGAGGACTCCAAGCCTCAGGTGAACTTGTAGCTCTTTCTGACACCTTGTTTTCAGCCTGGTGAGCCCCTGAATCAAAGAACCAGTTAATTTGACCAACAGAAATTGTGATATGATAGATTTGTGTAATTTTAAACTACTAATTTTAGGAAAATTTGCTATAAAACAGTAGAAAACTAATAAAATGCCTTATTATATTGTTTATTTCAATTATTGAAATGAGGAAACTAAAACTTAGGATCATCAAATAACTTGTTCACATAGGCTCACAAGTCAAGGCTCATTGCCCCTAGAACCCATAATATTAGCATTTCCCTTTATTGAACAACAATGCTCCTAACAGACACTAATCCAAGAGGGAGAATATATCTACAGGCTTGGCAGAGAAAGATACCAATAGGTAACAAGATACAAGCAGAGATACTAAAACCTACCAATCAAAATGGAGAGTAAAAGAAACAAATCTGAGAGTGAATTCTCAGGAAAGAGGTATGGTACAGCAGTGGATATGCAGGAGTATGTAGAGTAAATGTAAAGCCCATTTACCTGCTTTAGTCTACTGTTGAACAACTTATCCCTTCATTATAATAGCTAGAATGGGAGGCAAAAGAAAGAATTGCCATGAGTTATAAAGCATGTTTTATTCCATTCAAGAGCATGGAGAGGAATTGTGGCTCAAAATGAACTTCAAAACAGTAATAAGAGAAATGGTGCAAGTTTTAGAGAAAGGGATAGTGATTCAGGAATTTGAAAACAATTTGTAAATAGTGCAGCCAGCAGTTCTGAGGAATGAGAAAAAAATATGTAAATAAACAAAAATATCTTACAGAGATAGGATTTAAAAATAACATACTTGAATAGAGCCAGTATTCAAAAGCATGCAACTTTCTCCTGAAATGTTCCATAAGACAGAACATTTCAGGAGGAAGGGACACAGAAAGGTGTTCAGAAAAGTGGTTCGGTGGGAAGAATGTGGTAGCAAGACAATGGGTTGAGATAACTGGCTGCTGAACGATTAGAAAAACATGGAGGTCCTAAAGAGGTCCTATATTTGAGAACCAGTTCCAATAGAAGTTTAATAAGAAGTAACTCTTCTTCCTCATTGTGTCATTAAGTTCTTTATTAAGTTGTGTTAATTATCCACTGAACTAGAGAGTTGTGTTACTAATCCACTGAACTTTGTTTTTTAGATTGAAAAAGAGCACTCCCATTACAGATGTGTTCTTCTTGGGGCTTGCAAAGGAAAGTTCATCACCCTGTCTTATCCTTTTACAAACTCAGGCATCCTGGAAATGAGAGAGGTCCCAAAATCTATGTCTGTATCTCACTGGCCCTTCTACGCTGCCCACAATAAGATGTATGCAAATCTATTAAAATCCACTCAAATGAAAAGCCCACATGCCATGTATTGCCCCATAAATATACGAGAAAATTTTTATGTGAAGTTAGATAGTGATAAATGGCTCTCCAAGTCGTGGCTAAAACTGCATGCCCCTGAATGACCTCCTAAGGCCCTTAACACAGAGATGTAGGGAAGATGTGGATGATGCATTGCTAAGGGCTGAAAATGCCATGTTACATGACTCACTCAGGGTAACATTACCTCACCACCTGACAATTTATCAGATTCCTTATGATCTTGACAGGGTGATACAGTCTTACATAATGACTTCTTAATGAATAAAAAAAATATAGCCTAGAACTGTTCTTAGTGAGGCATAGATTGTTTCCCTCAAAGGAAGACTATATAGAACATAAGAAGGAAAGATAAAATAATTAGAATAAATAAAATCAATTTGGAAGGAAGTAGTTTTCAGCCTAGATAATGTTGTAATTGGCTGTTATCAAGTTAATCACTAAGCCTTTTTCTCAAACATGGACTGACATTGATTTAGAGCCCAAAGAGGACCTGATTTTAATATGCTATTCAAATTACCCCAAATTCCATGGTTGGGATCTCACAAATGCTATGCTACTTCTTAAGATACATGTGAGCTATCTCAAATTTCTAATGAGCTAAAAGAAAACTCTGTCAGTATAAATTCTTATAGGTCTAAGCAACATTTTTTACTTTTAAAGGAAAATTCCACAATAATCTTTTAACAAATGTGTTTGATTTTTAAAGAAAAGTTGCAATTTGACTTCCTCTTTTCCTAATTGAATACCCTTTATTTCCTTCTCCTGCCTAATTGCCCTGGCCAGAACTTCCAACACTATGTTGAATAGGAGTGGTGAGAGAGGGCTTCCCTGTCTTGTGCCCGTTTTCAAAGGGAATGCTTACAGTTTTTGCCCATTCAGTATGATATTGGCTGTGGGTTTGTCATAGATAGCTCTCATTATTTTGAGATACGTCCCATCAATACCTAATTTATTGAGAGTTTTTAGCATGAAGTGCTGTTGAATTTTGTCAAAGGCCTTTTCTGCATCTATTGAGATAATCATGTGGTTTTTGTCTTTGGTTCTGTTTATATACTGGATTACATTTATTGATTTGCGTATATTGAACCAGCCTTGCATCCCAGGGATGAAGCCCACTTGATCATGGTGGATAAGCTTTTTGATTTGCTGCTGAATTCGGTTTGCCAGTATAACCCTAGAAGAAAACCTAGACATTACCATTCAGGACATAGGCATGGGCAAGGACTTCATGTCTAAAACACCAAAAGCAATGGCAACAAAAGCCAAAATTGACAAATGGGATCTAATTAAACTAAAGAGCTTCTGCACAGCAAAAGAAACTACCATCAGAGTGAACAGCCAACCTACAGAATGGGAGACAATTTTTGCAACCTACTCATCTGACAAAGGCCTAATATCCAGAATCTACAATGAACTCAAACAAATTTACAAGAAAAAACAAACAACCCCATCAAACAGTGGGCGAAGGATATGAACAGACACTTCTCAAAAGAAGACATTTATGCAGCCAAAAAACACATGAAAAAATGCTCATCATCACTGGCCATCAGAGAAATGCAAATCAAAACCACAGTGAGATACCATCTCACACCAGTTAGAATGGCAATCATTAAAAAGTCAGGAAACAACAGGTGCTGGAGAGGATGTGGAGAAATAGGAACATTTTTACACTGTTGGTGGGAATGTAAACTAGTTCAACCATTGTGGAAGTCAGTGTGGTGATTCCTCAGGGATCTAGAACTAGAAATACCATTTGACCCAGCCATCCCATTACTGGGTATATACCCAAAGGACTAGAAATCATGCTGCTATAAAGACACATGCACACGTATATTTATTGCGGCATCATTCACAATAGCAAAGACTTGGAACCAACCCAAATGTCCAACAATGATAGACTGGATTAAGAAAATGTGGCACATATACACCATGGAATACTATGCAGCCATAAAAAATGATGAGTTCATGTCCTTTGTAGGGACATGGATGAAATTGGAAATCATCATTCTCAGTAAACTATCCCAAGAACAAAAAACCAAACACGGCATATTCTCACTCATAGGTGGGAATTGAACAATGAGAACACATGGACACAGGAAGGGGAATATCACACTCTGGGGACTGTTGTGGGGTGGGGGGAGGGGGGAGGGATAGCACTGGGAGATACACCTAATGCTAGATGACGAGTTAGTGGGTGCAGCACACCAGCATGGCACATGTATACATGTGTAACTAACCTGCACAATGTGCACATGTACCCTAAAACTTAAAGTATAATAATAATAAATAAATAAAAAAAGAAAAGTTGCAAAACAATCTTGTAGATTGTCCAAAACTATGACCAAAAATACTAATGACATGAATAAAATATTATAAATATATAAACGACGATGCAAACAACTTTTCAACTGTTGAGTAACATTCTATTATATGAGGCTGAGTCTTGAAAAGTTTTACTGAATGTAGGAAACTGAAGATATCACATTGTAGGGTCAAGTGGCATCATCTATGAAGAAAAGTCAGAAAACAAAAAGAATAGTGATGTTATTTTGATAATTGTAATATTTAATTTGCATAGCAAAGTAATTCTAGAAGCAGAGATTTTTATGTGCCACATTAGCGTGCTAAAAGGATAGTGGTTCAGGACTGGCACTGTTCTGATGTGTCTCACTTTAAACCAGAGTCCCCAACCCCCAGCTGTGGACCAGTACCAGTCCTTGGCCTGTTAGGAACCCAGCCACACGGCAGGAGGTGAGCGGGAGGCAAGTGAGCATTATCTCCTTACTTTGCTTCCTGTCACTTCAGTGGCAGCATTACATTCTCACAGGAGCCTGAACTCGATTGTGAACTGCACATGCGAGGGATCTAGGTTGCACATTCCTTATGAGAATGTAGCAAATGCCTGATGACCTGAGGTGAAACAGTGTCATCCCAAAACCATCTCCTCCACCTCCTACCCTCCTAACCTCCCTACCCCCGTCTGTGGAAAAAATCGTCTTCCATGAAACTGGTCCCTGGTGCCAAAAAGTTTGGGAACCACTGTTTAGACTACAGTACTTAACTCTGTCCTGAACACTTTTAAGAATACAGATAGGTTCTATAAATTCGTTTCGACCAGAAAGCTGAAGAAATTGCAACTCTATGTGAAATCGTTGAAATAAGAAAAGATGTAGGTGTTAATGTGGGGATAGAGATGCAATAATTTTCCTCAATAGCTTAAAGAATATGCAGATTAGATTTTCATCATGGTTTTTGAAGAGGAAAGTAATTTACATGTGACAATTATTGGCACTAATTTTAGCAAAAGCAATTAAAAAAAAAACTTTCTAGCAAAACTGTCTATAAATAAGAATAATCGACCAAGCTAGTAATGAGCATATCATTTATAAAGTTGTATAGACAGACAATAGATAGTAATATGCTCATTACTATCTTAAGTTATTAATAGTAATGATCACTTCTTAGGAATGTTGGGGAGGAATTCAAGTGTTAAATGGGAAACTATTTGACCAGGTGACAAATTGGTGGTTCTTGGGTTGAATGTAGCACCATAATCTGTTTGTGTGGCTTTAAGATATTATTAAACAAACAAACAAACAAATATTTGCAAAAATATAGAATTCAGAATAGTTCACATGAAAATCTTAATTTCCAGCATCTCTTAGCATTTGAACATCAGAAAATCTGGCAAAATTGCACTAGGTTTTTCTGTGGCAACAACAAATAGGAAGTAAGGAGTTACTGTCCCTTATAGACAAGTTTTATTTTCCCTAATTAACCATAGATAAAAGCATTCTTATATCCACAACACTGACTGTAAATTCCCATTTATAATCTTGCTTGAGCTACGGTTGTTACACTTTCTTCATTTTCATTACCTACATAGCTTTATAGGCATTCCAGTTTGAACTACATAAGATCCCTTCTGACCTGAATTTTTCAAATTCTGAATTCTGACTTGATACTAGAACTTGCTAGGCTCCCATTAGTTCATTTAAGCTAGTGTACATCTAGTAAAATGATCCCAAGTCATGAAGAATTAATTGCATAAACAATTCACGCAAGATCACCAACTTGTTAGTGACAAATCTAAAATAGAAAACCTTGTCTCTTGACTTGTGGTTTTTAGAAATTATAAATTGTTCATCTGATTCAGTCATTTTAACGATTATACTGAATTACACTAAATAGCTAAGAAAAATCATCAAACACATAAAAAGCCTAGACTGAGTTCAATAAGTCAAAACTTTCTGCAAATTCATTTCCAAAGAGCCTTGCTATTTAAAAAGAAAATTCACGGTATATCTTTATATTAAATAAAATGACCTACTGTTGTATAGATAAGTCCTTGTAAATGTACAAGACTATCTAAACTAAAGATTGTCCAGGGTCATTTCTGAATATGTAATTCCATTAATAAGTTATTAATAAAAACATATTAACAAGTGCAGGAAATTAAAAACCATATTAGAACACAATATGTTGTTTAATAATATTATTTAAAAAGGAAAACTCTAAAGCCATGTGCAATATATACTAAGTTATTACCCCTCATTTGACACTGCACAAGGGGACTGGATACATTTATTATCCATTTTAATCATCACAGAAATACTATTAATTAAATATTATTATTGTCTTTATTTCACAAATTAGAAAACTGAGGCCTAGAAAGCTTAGGTTCACAAGTTAGAGTCGGGAAGTCTGATTCTGGTAGAAAGTTATGTATATTAATTCATAATAAAGGGAGCCTTTTTATTGTGGTTGAGCTGAACCTATCTACAATATTACAAAGTTGTTGAGCTGAACCTATCTACAATATTATCCTTACACAACAATCCTTCTCTCTCATTTGTCTTTAATACACTCTCTCAAGTGGAAGTGGTGGTAGGCCCACAGGATCATGAATGGGTGTGTCAGGTTTATGGTCTGTATGTGATGGGGAAGAGTGAGGGGCATGGTAGATTGGTGGATTCAGAGCCCAGAAAATGCTAACAGAGACATCATTATATCTAGCATCTTTGAAATATGTTAGGACCTGGTTCTACGTCAACCTCATTTTGTGGTGACATTTTCTGTATTATTCAGATACTACAATCAGGGGGTATTATGAAGTTAGAGTTTATCTAGTGTGGTAATTTGAAACTCACATAAAATCTTTCAGAAATGTTTTTTTGTCATTGCCTTGCATTTGTTCAGAAAGAATCTGAAAAAACTGCTTCTAGTCATAACGGAGTATGGCGAGAAACACAGTCTCCAGAGGTTTATAGGTTAACGAGAGGAAGCCATCCTACAATGACAAATAAAAGAAATAAAACAGCCAGTGCAAATTAAGGATAAGAAAAATATTTATAGTAGTGTAAACCACCTAGTTCTTGTCTAATTTATGTTTATACAATAAGAATTATGGATGGATGAACAAAAGCAATACAAGAGAAAACTAATTACGGAAAAAGACACTACCACAAAGAATGTTTTCAAAGCCAATATTTTCAATACATATAAAAGTTGTGAATAAGATTATGCGGAAAAAAAACGAAGGACTGAACAAGGAAATCCCGTGCGTGTGTGTGGGTGTTTGCGTGCACACATCTACCTGTGTGTGGTGTGTCAGGGATGTTAATAACTTTAAACAAAACTCATTTAATTAAACAGCACAATGATATTGTCACCAAAACCATAAAAGCATTTAATAAAAGAAAAAATGCATTTAAATTAGCCTTGATGGAAATATTGAAAATAAATTCATGTAATTGTATTTAAAGTGATAGTACATTCATGCCTTACAGTTGTAGAAAAGTAATTAAACAGAAATTATTTTGGGAGCTTGGAAGGCTTTAACATGTCATCATTAAGGCTAATTTGAATATTGCTGAAGGCATCCTTGAACATTGCTATTTCATACATCAGAAAGTATTCACTTCTGTGGCAAAGACATGTATGCTTTCATATTGGTCATTTCAGGACAGAAACAGTTTCTCAATTAAAAGAATTTTTTTCCAACTCTTCTGGATGTAAATTTATTACACAGCTATACTCACTATACTCAGCTCAAATTAGAAATTTATACTTAAGATGTAGGTAAAATCTTTGTAAATGGCAGGTGATTTTATCTGCATGGCAGGACTTCTTTTTTTAGTTTTGAGTTTCTTTATAGGTTTGTCTGATTTGTTAGATTTGAATGAATACAAAATGAGAGAAAAGATAACACTGGATTTGCATGCATGTCCTTACAGAGTTTTGCTAGTATGAAATTTCCTGAAGTCAGTGGAGAATTCAACATGGACTTTATCTACTGAGATTTACGATCACATGAGTTTTTTTTGGCAGAGTGGTGTCTTGGACACAGGCTTAGGGGCCAGAGTTAGAAACATGGTTCTAACACTAATTGGGCTTCTGGTTACTTGACCTTTCAATACTGTAGTTTCCTTATCTAAATATGGGAAACAATAAAACACCTCCTTTTATTATGAGTTAATATACATATAATCTTAACCAAGAAGACCAAGAAGAGAATCACGGCATATTAAACAAAATTCAGTCATATTGCTTGACTGTTGGATAAGGAGCTAGATAACAGGTAATGCAGATGCCCTTCTGACTTTCTGCCAGATGCTTCCTGTCAGGTCAGCAGCAGGCAGAATGCCAGTCTGTTTACTATCTACATTACGTGCAAGTGCTACCTTCAGCGATGACATGCAGGCCAGGGAGGGAGGCACTTCACACATACATCTGTCCCCCTGTCTCCCAAATGTCAGATGCTTCTACATGCTTGAGGAAACTCATGAATAATCTGAGCTCAGGGATGAGCCCCGATTACTCATGTTTTTCAATTACACATACTTTCTTGTCAAATGCACCATTATGGCTTAATTTCTATTTTCCTGATAATAAAACACATCAAGTTTTAACATCATCCTTTTACAATGACATCTCAAAAACATATCCTTTTTTAAATAAATGTGATACATTTCAATACTTTTCCATGCATATTTTGCTATTTTCTTTCTTAGATGTGTAAAAGGAAATGAGAATTTGCCAGTGCCTGTTTGCCAGTGAGTAATTTAGTAATTTCAATGTTGTGACTTTTATTTCTTAAAGACAGAAGAGATTCTGCTGTAGATGTGATAAAATACATTTAAGTTATAAAATTTTCCTTTTAGTTTCTTATAAATCAGCTCCATGGGAAAAGGAAAGGATATCATTTTTGTTTAATACTCGCTTTCATTCAGAATATCTTCTAGATTTCAGTTTTGAGGAAATAGGCTTTAAGAAGACAAACACTGTCATTATTTTGATATTACATTTTCCTAAACCTGGATGATTAAATGAAGCGATCACTAGGATTTACTCATTTAGAAAATTGTATTCCAGAGAGTGCTATTTTTTTTTTTTTGAGATGGAGTCTCACTCTGTCACCCAAGCAGGTGTGCAGTGGCATGATCTTGACTCACTGCAACCTCCACCTCCCAGGTTCAAGCAATTCTCCTGTCTCAGCCTCTCAGATAGCTGGGGTTACCAGTGTGCACCACCTTACCAGGCTAATTTTTTGTATTTTTAGTAGAGACAAGGTTTGACCATATTGGCCAGACTGGTCTCGAACTCCTGACCTCAGGCAATCTGCCCGCCTCGGCCTCCCAAAGTGCTGGGATTACAGGCGTGAGCCACCGCACACTACCCAGAGAGTGCTAGTTTTAACGGTGAGAAAATACCGTGCCGATTCAACTTGATCTGAGACCTTCCTTTATTGGATAAAGTGGTATTATGCCTATATCTTGAAACCTCAATCTGTTTGCCTTATTGGCTCTCTCTGGTACACATTCAGTCTTTAGCAGATGCAGGCTGCAAAGCTGTTCTTACTGTTCTGAGGGCAGGCAATAGTAGGCAGTCATGAGCCTGCAGCTAGCGTATCTGGTAAAATGATCCCTGTGTTTAGACTCAGTGCCAGTGACATCATGTCTGCCCAGTTAATTTTAAACAACAACCCCTTTCACTTTGTTACTTAAGACCTGAATCCATTAATATTTGCTGACTTTTTTCCAAATGTATATTTATCAGAATTGGAAGAGATGAGAAAGTGTTCATTCATCAACAAATGATTGCAGAACTGGTGCCAGATATTAAAGGTGAAGCCAATTGAATCAAACAATCTCAAAGATATATCCCTGCCTTCTAGTGGGTAACACTGATAAAAAGAAATACAGTTAGACCCTCCCTTTCCACAAGAATCTGCACATTCAATCAACCATGGATCAAAAATAACCAGAGAAAGAAAACAATAAATATAACAATTATAACAATTTAAAATTGTACAAAAAATACAGCATAACTATTTATATAGAATTTACATTGTATTAGATATTATAAGTAATCTGAAAATGATGTAAAGTATATGAGAAAATATGAGTAGGTTATATGCAAATAATAGCTGTATTATACAAGGAATTTGAGCATCTGCTGATATCCTCAGGAATGACAATAGGAAATTACAATCCAGTGTAGCATGTTTTACTTTATAAGTTTAAGTACAGTATATACACAAAGGAGTCATAGCAGTCACGAAACTTACAATTCAAGAGAAGTCACTACTATAACTGGGAAAAGAATAGAAAATACATATTGACTTAAAAGAAAATCGTGTTCTTATCTACCCGTTTTATAACTTAGATATTTGATTCCTATGTCAGTTATTGCTTGCCCAAGATCAGAAACTACATGACAACAGAATAGAAAATGATTCCAGGACTGCTGAGCTGCCTCTATGAAGTAGTTCACCTTTTTGAATTACTAAAAGTTGAAGTGGAAGTTGAAAAATGAAAGATTACTTTTACTTATGTCTCACTTTTTTCATATGTATGTGTGTGTATAACATTTAACATTAAAAACTACCTACCTAATAAATATCTTTAATTAAATAAGAGAAAAATCAATCAAATGGATAGCTTGCGATAAAGAATAACTATTTCCTACGAATGTTTTAAAAATAGCCTGATAATTCTGGAATTTAAGTCATTTTGATAGAACTTCTATATGGAGTTCTTGTTGACAAATTATTCTATCTCTGGTAAAAGTAGGGAGAAATATAATTCCATATCTAGCCAAATACTACGGTATTTTGTGATGTTAAAAGATTCATTATAACCTGAAATGATATATTGTGTATCCTCTAAACAACTGTTTCCCTAAAGATTTAGTGGAAAAACACTTTCCCCCAATCTGTGCAACTCTAAGAAAGTGACTTATTATTGTGACAAGTAGATCTATCAGTGCTACCTGCAGGCCCAAGCTGCCCAGATTACTAATGACCTGCGAAATAAATTGGCCATTCCAGAACTCCCTACTCAGCTGTAAAAGAGGTGGTGACATCACAGGCTCACTATAGACTCTAGTTGATGCTCAAAGTAACAGGCTTGGATCCCAAGGGCTTATTCAGCCATGTTGGCATAATGTCCTTACCTCACAAACTGATTTACAGGTCAAGTGTAAGAACAGCTTAAGAGTTTCTAAAAAAATACCAGCTGAATGTTCTTTATTTAGAAAGAGAATAAATTTAAGCAGAATACATGATTAAAATGATTAGAGATTGAACTCTTGAGTCAGCCAGATTTGTGCCTGGATCACAAGGCTTCTATTCACTAGATTTATGATCCTCAGAAATTGTCTGTAATGTTCTCAGCCTTGATTTTCTTAGACCCCAAAATGAAGTTACAAAAGGAATGTCTTATAGAGTAGTTGTGAGATTCCATTTGTTCATTCATTGAATCACTGTTTATTAACAGCTAACCTGTGCTATGCATGCTTGTAGGCAATGTCCCTTCTCCTTTGTAGTTTGCATTTTAGTTTATGGTGATAGCCAATAAAAAATTAATAAACAATATATGTCTAGGTTATAATATGTACTATATGTACTATAATTTGACAGACAGTAAATGAAGAAGATGATTTTAGATAGAATCATCAAGGAAGGCCCCATCAAAAGGTGATATTTTGTGAACAAGAAAATATCTTCTATATGACAAGCTTCGGGGAAAGTGTTTCACATCAAAAGAAGAGTCTATAAAAAGTTCCTGCTCACGCCTGTAATCTCAGCACTTTGGCAGGCCGAGGTGGGCGGACCACGAGGTCAGGAGATCGAGACCATCCTGGCGAACACACGGTGAAACCCCGTCTCTACTAAAAATATAAAAAAAATTAGCCGGGCCGTGGTGGCGGGTGCCTGTAGTCCCAGCTACTCGGGAGGCTGAGGCAGGAGAATGGCGTGAACCCGGGAGGCGGAGCTTGCAGTGAGCCGAGATCGCGCCACTGCCACTCCAGCCTGGGTGACAGAGCGAGACGCCGTCTCAAAAGAAAAAAAAAAAAAAAAGTTCCTGTGCTGAGAAACACCTTGGAACATTCAAGGAACTGAAACATGGACATTTTGGGGAAGGAAATGAGCAAGGGCAAATAGTTTTGAGAAATAAGATTGGAGAGTTAGGGGTTTTTGTAAAGACTGTAGGGTTCAATTTAAAATAAATGAGAAGACATTAAAGCAATAAATAGAAAATGATAGATGTTTTCAAAAGACTACTTACATTACCTCGAGTTTAGGGAGTCAAGATTAGAAGAAGGAAAACTGATAATGCCAAAATAACAGCAGATAAGGCAAGCGATAATGGGATGTGGGTTATGGTGGTGGTAATATATGGAGGGAATTACTTGGATTTAAGATACATTTTGGAGATTTATAGTGACAGGACGAAACAATAAATTGAATATAGGAGACAGGGAAAGGATACACAAGTCTGACCCCTAGGGTATTGTCCCGAATAACGAGGCACCTGTTTGTGCACCATTCTGAGATGGAGAAAAGTAGAGTAAAAACAGGTTGTTGGAGAGGATGTCAGTCTCTTAAATTAGATATGTATAATTAGAAGTGAATACTGGGAATCCAAGTGTTATTGTCAAATAGGTAGCTAAAAGTATACATCTGGAGTTTGGATAGCAATCAGGGCTAAATGACAGAACTCATAATGCATAGCTGAGTGCTTCATGAACTCAGTAAATGTAAACTCACAAAATGTGAAATGTTTTAACAGTAGGATACACAGAAAACTTTATACTGGGGAATCCTTTTAAAATTTGGCCTTTTGGCAGAGAATGCCACTTCTACCTCTTAAATGCAACTGTTATTTAATTTCTCTAAGATAAATTGGGAAAGTGAATTTTAAGTTGTTCTAACCCAATTATATTGTCTTGTCATAGTTAGGCTTAGTAAAAGAACAACAACAACAACTTTGTAAATTCAACATCATTATCAAAGGTCAAGATATGGCGACTGCTTGGGCCCTAGTGTCAAAATAAAATTCCAATTTTGCCACTTTTTAGCTTTGTCATCATGAGGTAGCTAGTAAAACACTCTGAGCCTCAATTTCGACACCTGAAAATGCAAATAATGATAGCAACTATGTCTGGAGTTTTATGATGATTAAATAAATAAGGCAATTAAAATAGGTATCACATGATGAGTACCTAAGAAACATTTATAAATGCAAAGGGATGAGGTAAGGAATAGTATTTGTGATATGTTAGTATGACAAAGACTGTCAAGAAAAATTCTAAAACTATAGAAGAATATTTTAATTAAATTGTAAAATTTATAAAATGTATTATTATAAATTTTATTATTTATTAAATTATTATAAATTTATAAAAATTATTATTAAAATCAAGGTTTGAAAACAAAGCTCTTATGCCTTCACAACACATACTGGGACCTTAAAAAGGAACAAATATTATAGTTTTGATTTGCAAATTTACTAATAATTAAGGATGTTGAGCATCTTTTCATATACTTGTTGGTTGCCTATCTGAACATATTCTTTGGAGAAACATCTGTTCAAGTTCTTTGCTCATTTTTTAATTAGGTTGTTTGCTATTCAGTTGTATTTCCTTACATATTTGGGGAATTTACTTTTTATAAGATAGATGGTTTGCAAATATTTTCTTCCTTTCCATTGACTGTCTTTTCATTCTCTTGATTATTTCCTTTGCTGTGCGGAAGTCCTTTAGTTTGATGCAGCCTCATTTATTTAATTTTGCTTTTTTGTTGCTTTTGCTTTAGGTGTCATATCCAAGAAATCACTGCAAAGACCAATATCAAGCCCCTTCCTCCGATGTTTTCTTCTAGCAGTATTACAGTTTTGGGTTTTATGTTGAAGTCTTTAATTCTTTTCAGTTGATTCATTTGCTGAAATTTAATCCCCAATGTGATGGTGTTAAGAAGTGGGGCCTTTAGAAGATGATTAGATCACGAGGGATCTGCCCTCACAATGGTATTAATGTTCTTACAAAAGAAGCTTGAGGGAGCTGCTTTGTCCTTCTGCCATGTGAAGGCACAACAAAAAGTTTCATGTTTGAAACAAAGAAAAGCCTTCACCAGGTATTAAATTGGATGCCTTCATCTTGAACTTCCCAGCTCCTACAACTATGATCAATAAATTTCTGTTGTTTACAAATTACCCAGTCTAAAGTATTTTGTTACAGCAACCTGAGTGGACTGAGACTATATTACATATATGTTTTTTCTGTTTCTTCCATCTTTCTGGAGAATCCTGACTAATACACACATATTAGAATGATTATTATTAACAAACTGAAAGATAATAAGTGTTGACAATGATGTGGAAAAATTGGAACCCTTGTACACTGATGCTGGAAGTATAAAATGGCACAGTAGCTATGGAAAACAGTGTCGAAATTTCTCAAAAAATATAACTAGAACTGCCATATTATCCAGCAATCTCACTTCTGGCTATAAATGTAAAAGAACTGATATCAAGATCTCAAAGAAATATCTTCACTCCCACATCCATTGCCACATTATTCACAATAGCCCAGATATGGAAAAAATCCAAATGTCAATTGACTTATAAAGAAAATATGGTATTCACATACAATGGATATTATAATCTTTACAAAAATGTAACCCTATAATTTGTGACAACATAAATGAACCTTGAGTATATTATGCTAAATGAAGTAAGCCAATCATGGAGGAACAAATGCTGCATGATTTCACTTTTCTTTTTCTTTTTTCTTTTTTTTTTTTTTTTTGAGACAGGGTCTCTTTCTGTTGCCCAGGCTGGAGTATAATGGCGAACGATCTCAGCTCACTGCAACCTCCACCTCCTAGGTTCAACTGATTTTCCTGCCTTGGCTTCCCAAGTAGCTGGAATTAAAAGTGCCCACCAACACGCCCAGCTAATTTTTGTATTTTAGTAGAGATGGGATTTCGCCATGTTGGCCAGGCTGGTCTTAAACTCCTGACCTCAAGTAATCCACCCCCTCGGCCTCCCGAAGTGGTGGGTTTACGGGCATGAGCCAGAGCCCCCGGCCACATGATTTCACTTATATGAGTTATCTATAATGGTCAAACTCATAGAAACACATAATACAACAGGTTAAAGGGGAGGTTGGGGAAAAGGCAGTTGGTTGCTCAGTGGGTAAAAAGTTTTAGCTATGCTAGAAGAAAAGTTATAGAGAGGTGCTGTACATCGTAGTACCTGAAGATAATCACATGATATTATGCGCTTCAAAATTTGAGGATAAATCTCATGTTGAGAGCTCATTACCCTTATCTGATTACTGTACATATGTATTGAAACATCACTATGTACCCCATGAATATGTCTAATTATTTGTCAACTAAAATAAAAAAAAATTCTTACCACAAAAACATAAACAAAAACAAAAAACAAAGGTACACAAAACCTTTGGCCGGTGTTGAGTGTGTCTATTACCTTGACTGTGGTGATGGTATCATCGGTGTTTGCATATGTGCAAACTCAACAAAGTATACGCATTCAATATATGCAGTTCTTTGTATATGAATATCTTAAAAACATCTGTTAAAAATAAACTGCCAAACCTCAAGTTTTTTATTACTATGAAAATCTGGGGCATGCTCAGCTGTATCCTTTAGCCAGGTTATGATGTGGCAATTTTTGTTTTTTAGATTAATAATATCTGATTTGATTTTCAGTTCTTTGAATTAACCTAAAAATTGATTTAATCAAATTGATGTACGATTACATAATAGACTTAAATGTTAATTCAAAAAAAATGGTAAAATACCTTTAAAAAAAGGGACAGACATCTTAGTAAAAAGAAACAGTAGAGAGTCAGAGAGAATCTTCTTAGCAATATGTAGTTAGCAAAATAAGCAGCAGCTTCAGTGTGATGCTATTCACCATAATGGGGAGAACATTTGAACTTATGAATTATTCACATTTTTCTGAATCTGAACTAAACATGAAAAGGGATGAAAGGGAGAAGCTTGTAATAGATTTTTTTTTAGAGCCAAATACAGGCTTGTGTTGAGTTTACACTCTGCTGTCATGCGAGTTCATGGAAGCATTACAATTCTGTCGATTTCTCTTGGTGAGGAGATAACAGACTTTCCTACTTTTGAGACTGCTTTTCATATTTCTTTAATTACTTCCCTTTGGAAAAAAAGGCCAAAATCCATTCAAATGCACTCAAAAATTTCCCTTTTTGGGGGCCAACTTAATTGTCAGAAATTTACATAAGCTATTTTGTTCTCTGAAGTCTGGGTTCAGTTTCTACAACGCATTTTCGTTCCGCCGCTTTTGGGTGTGGAATTTTCTATCCGAAGATCTTTGTTGCAGATGTTACTCACACGGGCTCCAACAGAACTGAAAATGGTGAATTCTCCGTCCCTTGTTTCCTAATTCTGCTCAGATGTTGTTTACAGGCTCTCTTGCTATTGGTAGTTGAGCTTAGTTGCCTCAAGAGCTTTGCTTCCTTTGGTCTTTGTCTGTGATGCTTGTGTCATATTTCTCTTTCAGGAGCTTTTCTCACAAAGCAGTTCTCCTTTCCAAGATTGTGTGTCTAGGTAGATTTATTTCTCATCAAATTTTCTATACCTGGGACAATTTTATTCATTCAGCAAATATACACTGTACTCTTATTACATGCTCAATACTGCACTGATTAAGTAAAAGAAAAGTTGACACCACTTCTGCTCAAAGTAAAAGCAAGACCTCTGTCTAAAAAGAAGAGAAAGTACAATACATGTTTGCAACTTCTAAGAATTTACTTTAAAGCTACACTTTTGACACTGTGAAAATGTATAGGCAGAACTGCAGAATACTGGAAACAACTTATGTGCCTATACCTAGGAATTAAATTCTGATAAATGCAAAAATAGAGTACCAAGTAGTTGTAAAAAACAAAAAAAATGAGGGTGAACGTGGTGGTTCATACCTATAATCCCAGCACTTTGGGAGGCCATAAAAGGAGGATCACTTGAACCTATGAGTTTGAGATCAGGCTGGGTAACATGATGAGGCCCCATCTCTACAATTTTTTTTTTAAGTTAGCCAGGTGACTTGGTGTGTGGATGCAGTTCCAGCTACTTGGGAGGCTGAGGTGGTAGGATCACTTGAGCTCAGGAATTTGAGGCTGTAGTGAGCTATAATTGTGCCACTGCACTCCGGCCTGGGTGACAGAGTGAGATCTTGTCTCTAAAAAAAAAAAATAATAAATAAAGTATGAAGTAGATCTTCATAAACTGGTCTGGAGGTGTGGAATGATTTTCATGTTATATTATTAAATGAAGAAAGCAAAGTATGATAAATTATTCATATTTCAAACTGTTCTACTTTAATGGAGGAGAAATAAAAGGAGGAGAAATAAAAAATGAAAATAAACACAGAAGTGTCTGTTCATTTGAGCAAAAACAAATGCTGGAGGGTTAAACTGATGAACAATAAGAACTTGTCACCTACAGGGCATACAGGGCATGAGTGAGAAGCAGTGGAAAGGGCAGGGAGTGAAGGGAGGAGTTGAGTACTCTCTGAATATACTTTCCGGCATAGTACTGATTTTTGGAATCAATGTTTTACATATTCTAAATGAGAATAAATAAACAAAATCAACAAAGAGAGAGAAGTGAGTCAAAATTAAATACAAATGGAAACAAATTAATAGAAACATATGGAAATGGTAGTGTGAGGGAAGAACTACCCCAGGTAACTTTGAAGTAGTTTGGGGACTACATATCCTTAGGTTACAGGAAAAAAAAGTTCCAATATTAAACTTTAATGTATAGTTCTTTTTTTGTTCTCAGAGGTATATATTAGTAATTCTAAAACTTTTACATATTCCAGAATTGATCAAATACATAAATATATTATGGATAATGACAGCCAGCTTTTTCCTATTAGAGACTTACAAACATGGAAGGGAAAACGATAAATAAATCCTATCATGTTGAATTGGACTTGAAGATGTCAGTGCTAACTCCTTGGGTTTAATATATTAAGCGTGTAGATAGACATAGAAATAGATAATAGATGTGTGTGGGTATATCTGTATGTGTGTGTGTATGTATGCATGTTATATTTCCCAGGTAGCAATGGCAATACTTGTTTGTATATCTTGTTTTCTAAATACCATTCTCCCCTAAAATAGAATCAAGGCTCCTTAGAGAAATTACTGATTTCATGTCAGGATCTGGTAAGGATAAATTGAAGCTGGAATACCTTTATATGCCAAAAAAGCATAGATGCGCTCAACGAATGATGGAGACATAAAAAGACTTAGAAGTCAGTTTGAAGAGACTCTAAAAAGTCAAATCTTGGATATTTTGACAATTGAAATAAATAACGGTATTTTTTTTTTTACTCTATTGAATAAAGTAAGTCTCCATAACAAACATATAGAGATGGTCTTCATTGCACTAGAAAACCAACCACTAGATGTGGAAGGTATGATGCAATTAGAAAATCACCATTTGGCAACCACTGTAATAACTGATTCAGGTAAAAATAGTCAATAAATTCTGAAACTAGAGAGTGAAAGTTTGAGGAATACATAATATTTATGTAGTCTCAAAGCAGCTCCCAATAAAACATTTACTAATTATGAGGTATAAAGTTGTAACTTTCTATTGGAGAAATCTGGCTGGCAGCCTTCTAGCCTAATTACAAAAGTTATTAATACAAGTAATGGTGTTACAATCAACGACATGTGCCCCTGACATGATGCATTGAGAATGTCCATCGTCACCTCCATAACATTCAGAACAAAAGTGATTACCTTGAATTTAACCAAAAATAAGAATCAGATAAATCCAATTAGAGGAACATTCTACAAAATAATTGCTCAGTTGTCTTCAAAAGTATTAAAAAATAAACAGTTCAAGATTAAATAAGACTACATGACAACTGAATGCAACACATGACCTTAGATTTTCTTTTGCTATAAATGACATTATCTAGGAACTTCTGAAGAAGGGTTATATATTAGATCGGGGTCAGCAAATATGACTCATGAGCCAAGCAATCCTACTACTTGTTTTTGAAAATAAATTTATATTGAGCACAGCCATGCCTTTCATTTATATATTTACTCTGGCTGCCTTTGCACTGCAACAGCAGAATTGAGTAGTTGCAACCAAAACCATATGGTTTGCAAAAACTAAAATAATTAGCTTCTGGCCCTTAACAGAATAATTTACTACTCCTAGAAATAAATGTTGATATTTAATCAATGTTGTTTATTTAGCCATTGTAAACATTGTGTAAAATAAATCCGTCTTTATAGGAAATATACATAAGTACTTTGTGGGGAAAAGTAAAGGAATATCCTGTCTGCAAATTATTCCTCAGTAGTTCAGGGGGAAAACACATACACATATAACCTATTTTTATATATGTATTTATCTTAGATTACAAGAAAGATAGTAAGATAGGTAGGTAGATAGAAAGACAGAATACATAGATAGATTAGATAGATAGATAGATGATAGATATAGATAGATGATAGATGATAGATATAGATGATAGATGATGATAGATGATAGATACGTAGATACATAATATAGATAGATCTACAGATAGATGATAGATAGATATAGATAGATGATAGATAGAGATAGATAGATAGATAGATAGATAGATAGATAGATAGATAACCAACCATGAGAAAGAAGAATGAATAAATATCTTTATTAAAAGTTGTACTTAAATGTTGATATTTGATAAATCTGGAACTAGGGTGTCTGAGAATTCTTTGCAATATTTTGTCATATTTTTCGTAGTTTCATTTTTCTGAAACTGTCAAATATATTAATAAAGGAAAGTGAAGTGTGAAGTACTTAACTGACCATTTCCTCTGTTCTGTGTTTCTGCCAAATACTCCTCCTTGGCTGTATTTCCTTGGCAATACTTTTCAGTCTCTTGTAGATCTCTTTTCCTTTGACTTCTTCTTAAATCTTATTGTAATTAGATGTCAGCAAAGACCAACTTATTTCTAGGTAATCAAATACATTTTCAAGATTTCGCAGATTCTATAGGAAATCTGATGTTTATAAGACTTCTTCAAGTTCTAGGAGGTTTGTGGGAGTTGCAGGGAAGGGAGTTGGCTGCTTTTGTAATCTCCTATATCATATACCACTAAGTTTCCAGTGTTGCTGAAATTTCATTTCACTTATACTGCTTTTACTATATTTTCTTTGTTCCTCTATTCTTTATCAACCCATACATGGAATTTTGCCTCCTTTCCTGGATATTCTGACAATAAAACTTCATATATATGTATATTAAATGAAAAAAATGTAAATTGAATATTAGACTTTCTTTACCTACAAAGTGTTCCTGCTATTTCACTATGCACTATTAGGAACATCTCAACACTTACATTTCTCCATAGGCTCCAGATCCTTGCCATATTGCATGGCCTCTTCTCTTGGATTTTCCTCCCTCAAATTCAATTTCTCCTATCTTATTTTAAAGAGTCACTAAACTCTGTACTCCCAGCTCTAGGCCCCCATTTAGATTTGCATAAACTCATTAATGTCTCTGCTAAAAAAAAAGGCATCTTGATTCTGGAGTCTCATCCTTCAGCACAAAATTACAGGAATGTGTTTTTATTCTAAGTAAGTAAGGAGTACATGACATTGTTGGAGTTATAAACAAACTACATAATTTTATTCAGAAAAAGCTCTGAATCTCATGAAACAACTCAGGGCTCATCTTGAAATTCTAGACATAGGAGGCACCAGCACAGCCACTTTTGTCTACTAGAAATATATATGGTAGTGTTTAAGATCCTGGAATCTGAAGTCAGACTGCCTTTATTTATATTTTGACTGCACTAGGAAAGTGAGGGATACCAGGAAATCTGCTTGAATGCTCTGTGACTTCCTTTCCTCCTCTGTTAAATAGAAATGACAATGGTACCTCCTGCACAGTCAGTCACAATGTGACCATCTCCGTAGTTATGTGATAATGAAACCTGAAGGCAAACAAAGTGACTATTGATAAGCAATTAATTATTTAACTAAATAATACTCCATGAAAACTATAGAATACTTTGTGGTTATTACATAGTGACATGGATTTTTATTTACTGATTTGAAAAAACATATGATTAAAATAATGACAAAATATGTGTATTTGTAGATAGATATTTGTAACCTATTTTTAATCTGGAAAGAATAACCAATACTTTGGTTACTTAACATTAAGAAATAGGGAAGAAAGTTTCTCACTTTTCATCTTGTACTTTTTCATACTGCTTAAACTATATAATCTAGTATTATTATTGAAGTAAACAAGGCAGTGAAATTATGAGTAATTTTAATTTTATTTGTAGTTTACTATGCAATGAAAAATCCAATGTATGTTTTAGTTATATATTATGAAAGTGAATACATTATTAACAACCTGATGCCAGGAATTGGCTATAAATTGAGCAATGTGCTTGTGAGTTTTTGACTTTTACATAAATAAATGGAAATTAATACGGTTATATTGCCAGAAGAAACAAATAAGCAAATCCATATGCATACAAAGAACAAAATATTTTGCAAAGTGTTCGGTACAGAATCAATGACGTACATCTCATGACTCTTGTTAATTTCCTATTGTTTTATTGCTGTTTTGATAGTAAACCATTATGTACATCAACCTTTGGAATACGGGTAAGTAGGCACAATATTGGACTAGTATGAGAAAATAACCTCATTTCACATGTTAAAGCTTTCAAGAAGGAAGTGGCCCTTAAAATATTTTTAAATAAAATCCCAAGTGACAATTTCTCCAAATAAAAGGAATGGTGTGTTTCACTTGTTCTCCTCCTGTGATGACTAGTATGGCTGTGCTTTAAGATCTTAAAGAAAATTTTGTGATCTGATACTGGGGTAACTGGATTCTGATTATTTTGAGAAGAGAGTGATTTTTATTTCTCTTTGATCCAGAAAATAACCCAGGACTATAAAGTCTGCAGAGACAAATATTGTAGTAAAACTATACTTCCCCTTTGGTACCCTGCCATGATCACTCTGAGATAACTCAGTAAGCAACAGAGGCAAAACTAAGGCAGAATTTTCAAGTGGTCATTCTTTAAGGAGATAAACTGGAGATTCAGCCTTGTATCAGCATTAAATTCTTCAGCAAGTAATAGACCATTTGTGCAGCCGCAGGTATGTGTGCTAATAGAATGATTTTCTTTCAATTAGGAGCATTTCTCTGCAAAATAATTACAGATGCTGTTTACTCAACTTTTTAAAAAGGACCATTAATGTTTTATAATCTCCTTTCTTCCCACTGTTTTATTATGGGGAAGAAAAATGAAAATAGGTAGTAAGCTTATGGCGAATTTTTGTTCCCTATAAAAATATTCCATCCAGAGATTCAACTAAGCATGTTCACAGCTGTATATACAGTATTCACTTTGTGTTCACAAACATTGTTAGGGCTTTTTCTCATAGAGAATTGAGCACTAAAATCTACAGCAGAGAAAAAGAATTTTGAGATAGCTACAGATATTTCCCAAAGGAAACTTCAGCTGTCATTAGCTCTCATAGGTGCTGCATGAAAGAGAGAGGGAGAGTGGGTGCTAAAATTCAATCAAGTGCCTCCTTTTGAACTAGTCAATTTAATTCAAATATCTCACATGGTAACACCCAGAATGGCAATATTTTTGGAAAAGATTCTTCAGAATTTACTATAGGGTCATCCTTTGAAATTAAGATGAACTATCTCTCACAGAAACTTTTGTCACAGGGAATTGACTTGATTTCTTTGTTTGAATGAAATCCTAATCCATGCAATTTTGTTAAAAGGTGCAATTAGGTTGTGCTTCTTATAGAAGCTATCTGTCATCAACTGACTAGATTCTTCTAAAGATAGGCTTTAAAAAGATCTCTTGATTACAAGAAACCTGTAATATCTTATTTTGATATGCTCAACTTGACTTCTAAGGATCCTGTATTTCAGGGCTTTTGATTTTTGTCTTCCATATTGGCAGGGTGAAGCAGTATCAGTGTACTCATGTTACAACATAGCAGTCTTTATGAAAATAAGGAAACTTTATATTTAATTAGGAGATGGAACAGAGAGATGATCTATATTGCATGACTCTGCATATTAATTGTACATCTTTTCAGAAATATATAGCAGTTCAAGACTAGAAAACAAGTCTGGCAACAGTGTGCCATTTTTTAATAACAAAAATAAGCCTAACAAAACCCTGCCAGCTATAGAATATGTCATAGTGGTCTAGATTATAGTGTCTTTGTATACATTAGAAATGTCCCTTACTTTGTCAAAATCGGGTATTCAAATGTTACAGCTTCACAACTGCCGAACAGATATTAAATCCCAATGCAGTTAAAATGTATATACCAACTATAGCCATAAGCAGTGTATACACTTACTTACTGACCAAATTCTAAGGAAGAGGTTATTGACTTTTCAAGATGTGAATCAAAGGCAGAGTTTAATGGAGAGTTACTCAACATAGAGAAGCTATGAAGATAGATTTTACAACAACAAAAACTGGTTGTATATTTTCTTCAAGTGGATTTCCTGTATTGTACACTCACACATTTCTTTTATGATCAAGCATAAAATTATTCTTTACAGTTTAGAATCAACTGCCAGTAATTGAAGCAAACCATAAAATCACAATCTGTAAGGCTCTTTGACAGCTGCTGCTTTACTGTTGCATAAAAGAGATGACACACCCACTAGATTAAAAAAAAATACTACTACTTCTTAACTGGATTGAAAGGGCTATGTCTACCATTACATAGAGAACCCTTACTTTTTATGGATTGAAAGAGCCTTTGACTCTATCACTGATATAATGTTGTTGATTAAATATATCTGATGACTTAATACGTGAAACTCTGAAAGCTGTACAAAATTGATGCCAAATATTAAATCCATATTACATGGGTCCTTAATGTTAGACATTACATGATAGAGCCTTTCACTTTCAACAATCTTTCCAGTTATTTAAGTGACTGCATTGCTAAAATGAAAATAATGAATGTTTGCACAACAAAGTAAGATGTCAGAGTCAATTTATTGAAAAAATATTTGAAAATATATGCATTTGATTAAGATGTTTGATAAGAGATACTGTTGTTTTATGGGCTCAGCTCTTAGGGAGGCTCAAGAGACCTAGGTTTCTAGGTTTAATGTGATCTTGGTAAAGTGTGTGAGTCTCACTTTAACGATTTAAAGCCATTAGAAAGAAAAAGGAGGAGAAGAAAAAGAACATTTGCTTGTAATTATTGTCTTTAGTGTTTGTGAAGTACATGTAAGGTAGAAAGACTAGTATTATCCAAGCTTTTACCAACTCTTTTGATAGAATGCCTTTCCCCGAGGAAAGTAAAGATGGAATTAAGCCACCATTTACTTAAGGGATCTAGCTTTACTTGTGTCTCCAACAATTTCCTAGATGGAAACAGGGGATCATAAATTTATCACTTAGCTTCCTTCATATCTAGCATAACAGGTGGTCAAAAATGTTTCATGTAATTAGCAGGAAAACTCAACAAAATTCTAAGATTTGAAGTACATGCAGTAAAGTATTTCTTATAATACATATTAAAATATCCAGAATTTTTTTAAATTTGTGACTACTACAGATAACATATGTTGTTTGTATGATTATAAATTTTATGGCATTAGAATTCTAGAAGGAAAAATAACATTGAATTGGGTTCCCATGAGAGAAATAAATTGAGAATGTGACAATTAAATAGTAAATCTGGGCTGTAGGTAGCAAACATGGATAATTAAAGCTGAAATTTAAGCTTAATATGTGCCTTTTCTTCAGACATGCTGCAACCTATCCAGAAGCTGTGCTTTATCTTGACAATAATGAAATGCCAAGACTACAGTGCTTTCTGGTACATAATATTGAATACATTTTTACATAACCAAAATCTAGCATTAAAATAAGCTTTCATAATACTTTAATATTTGATTCAGCTAATGCATATATAACCCTTTTAGTCTAATTAAATAGAATCTTCATATGCTGTATTGTCAAAAGAAATCATGAAAAAAATAATATAGTTCTGCATGGTCATATTATTCATCCATTTATGTTTCATTCTATCATATCATTTATATTGTTGTTTCAGCTACAAAAACTAAGGTGGATTCCCTTAAGTAGGGCAGTTAATTGGTTTGAGACTCTCTGGTCAGTGTATTTATTGTAGCTGCAAACATTTTCCGTATGGAGAAAGAAAGGAAAAAAGAAATGACTCTTGAGAGAAGCTGTAATTAAAACAGATAACCAGGCAAAGATGGTAAGAAAAGTATAATTAGACATCAACTTCACAACCAAAATATAATTGGCCTCATTTTTGATGGAAATTGTTTTCTTATAAAGGGATCTATAGAAGTTTCTTGGAATTATTTTTTAAAAAGGCAAATTGTTTGGTTTCTACAGGTTTTATTGCTCTCTGTTTCTGAAGTAACATAATCAAATACTGTTCTACTTTTTATAGTAAAAAAAACAAAAAGAATACTGTTCAGGCGTGATGGTTCATGCCTGTTCTCCCTACACTTTGGGATGTCAAGGCAGGAGAATTGCTTGAGCTCAGAATTTCAAGACCAGCCTGGGCAACATAGGGAGACCCCATGTCTACAAAAAAAAGTTAAAAATTAGCCTAGCACAGTGGTGTGCTCCTGGTAGTCTCAAGTAATCAGAAGGCTACGATGGGTGGATTGCTTGAGCCCACGAATTTGAGGCTGCAGTGAATTATGATTATGCCACTGCACTCCAGCCTGGACAACAGAGGAAAACCTGTCTCTCAAAAAAATAATAATAATAATTAATATTCTTTTAAATAATTAAGATAAATAAATACAAAAAAACCCCTCCAAAACTCAGTCGGAATTGCTTGTAAAACTTTTGATTTGCTAAAACATTTTATGAAACAAGTCTCAGAAGATGTACAAGCAATTCAATTTTAGAGAAATACAGGCTGATGTATTTATTTAAAAAGCAAAATAAAATAATGTTTGGAAAGGAGCACTTCAAAGCCCAATTATCATCCAATAATCATATGTGTTGGTTATATATGTGTACATTATGCAAACAAGTCATTTTATTAAACAAGTTTTGACACATGCTAAACTATTTTTCCTCTTCCAAGTTAGAAATGTACACAATATACATATGTTTAAACACCCTCTCTTCTACCTGGGGTACTGATGGGCATTGTTTTTTAAGGAATCATCAAAACGGTTTACTCTCTTTATCCTGGGGTTTAGATAAGAAATTAGAGTAGGAAAAGTAGGAGGACTTTTCTTTCTCTAATCAGGGAATTGTATATTCTGAAAAGTTTGGTCTTGTCTCATCTTTCTAGTAAAGGGTGAATGAAAGTATTGAATTATCTTAATTTAATCTTTCATTTGGTAATCATTTTAGTATAATGAAGGAAAGAGAATGAACAATAAAGATATAGGAAGAGAAAAAAGAGAAATAATGTAAATGGTAAATTAATGTCTATAGCCATTCTCTTCATATGCATTGTTGTGTACAGTCCTCATAGTGTCCTGGGTATGGGGTGGGATTGAGTCAGATGGTACTGATTCCATTTCACTAATGAAGGAAATGAATGCTTGTGTGGTTTGCTAAAAGCCACCCTGAACATTAGTGGAGAGCAAGAACCTCTAAATTCAAATGGGATTTACAACCCCTTTTCCAGCATTGACTTTCAAATTAGAAACTTGGGGAAATGAAATAAACAGAATTATTGTTTCCTTTTCCAATATTTATAAAATTGAGTTCCTACTCCATATGTGGTTATGCAACTTTTATTTAATGTAACAGCATTCTACATCATTAAATATATATTTTTAAATGGTATTTTTCACTCCTGCATACAACTCCCTTGGATAAATACATTATATTAACAATATAAATAATGCTACAGCTTTCGACCTTATAACTTACATCTCTGAGCATCTCCCTAGTTAATTTCTGTCCTAAGAGTAGAATGACCAGGTCAAAGGATATGACTATTATAAAAAATCACCACTGAAAGCTTACTAATTTTTATTTCACCAGCAATAGAATGAAAGTATTATTTCATGAAGTTTCACTATCACTGAATGTTATTTGTCATATTTCTCTTTTATGTATTATTTCTTTTATGAATTATCTGTTTATATAATGTGCCAATATTCTATTATAAATTATGTTAATTTTCATATTTTTATTTTATGTTATTTTATATACTTTTAATTATTCTCCTCTTATTTGTTAAGAAACAAAATAACCAGTTCCTTGAAGACAGTACCTCTCTGCCTCATTAGTATAACTATTAGTATAACTATTAGTTATACTAATTAATTACTATTATATAGTTATATTAGTATACTAATTAGTGTAGCTAATTAGTCTAACTAATACTATGCAAATCACATAGCAAGTACAAAATAAATTACATTTAATTATTTGGAGAGTATATTATTTCAAATGGCATTTTATGTGTTTATTGAAGGGAGGGCATCAGAGTATGACAGTACATCACTCATTCATAACTCATTGCCTCATTTAATATCAGAAGTAGAAAAAAAAAGAAAGTAGAGGAGCTTACGTTAGTAGTAGACCAGTTTTTGAGTTCTTTACTATATTAATAAAAATTATGCAATGTTTATCTTTCTATTATACAATAATTGTGACTTATCCTTTACAGTTTGTATATTTGATTCCTTCTCTTTTACTGTTTACATCTTTGATTCAGTACATTAGAAGTCATATTATTTTGCAACATATGGATTTAATTTGTATATAATTCAAACAAAAGAGATACATTTATAAAATAATCACAGAACTATGAACATGGATATGTGATGGTATTAAGGAAATATTGACATTTTCCATTTTTTCTAAAAACTGTAAAAAGTGGTTTTTTTTTTTAAATAATTTCAACTCTTATTTTAAATTCAGCAGGTACATGTGCAGGTTTGTTACAAGCATATATTGCATGATGCTGAGCTTTGGGATATAAGTGATCCCATTACCTAGGTAGTGAGCATAGTACCTAACAGGTAGTATTTCAACCTTGCCACTCTCCCTTCCTCCAGTGTCTATTATTGACATCTGTCTGTCTATGAGCATCCAATATTTAGCTCCCACTTATAAATGAGAATGTGCTGTATGTGGTTTTCTGTTCCTACACTAATTCACTAAGGATTATGGCCTCCAGTACAATCCATGTTGCTGCAAAGGACATGATTTCACTCTTTTTTATGGCTGCGTAGCATTCCATGATGTATATGTATCATATTTTCTTTAGCCAATTCATTGTTGATGGGCACCTAGGTTGATTCCATGTCTTTGTTATCGTGAATAGTCTGCAATGAACACACAATTCTATGTGTCTTTTGGTAGAACAATTAATTTTCTTCTGGATATAAACACAGTAATAGAATTGCTGGGTCAAATGATAGTTCTAGTTCTGTTTTTAAGTTCTTTGAGAAGTCTCCAAACTGCTTTCCACAGTGGCTGAACTAATTTACATTCATACCAACAGTGTATAAGCATTCCCTTTTCTTCACAGCCTTGCCAGCATCTGTTAATTTTTGACATTTTAATAACAGCTGTTCTGACTCGTGTGAGATGGTATCTCATTCTGGTTTTGATTTGTAATTCTCTGAGTATTAGTGATATGGAGAATTTTTTCATGTTTGTTGACTGCTTGTATGTTTTCTTTTGAAAAGTGTCTGTTCATGTGTGTTGCCCATATTTAACTATTTTAATTTTTATCTTGTTGAATCAATTACCTTCCTTATATATTCTTAATAGTAGATCTCTGTTGGATCCACAGATTGCAAATATTCTCTTCTGTAGGTTGTCTGTTTAGTTTGTTTTGCTGTGCAGAAGTTCTTTAGTTTAATTAGGTCCCACTTTTCAATTTCTGTTTTTGTTGCAGTTGCTTTTGAGGACTTAGTTATAAATTCATTCCCAAGGCCAATGTTCAGAGTGGTGTTCCTCAGGTTTTCTTCTAGGATTCTTATAAGTTAGGATCCTACATTTAAACCTTTCATCAACTTCGAGTTAATTTTTGTATATGGTGAAAGGTAGAGGTCCAGTTTCATTCTTCTGCAAGTGGCTAGCTATCTATCCCAATATCATTTACTGAATAGTCCTTACTCTGTTGCCTATTTTTGTTGACTTTGTACATGGTCAGATGACTGTAGGTGTGCAGCTTTATTTCTGGATTCTTTATTTGTTCCATTGGCCTATATGTCTGTATTTGTACCAGTACCATGGTTTTTTGGTGACTGTAGCCTTATAGTATAGTTTCAAGTTGGGTAATGTGATGCTTCTGGCTTTGTTCTATTTCTTTAGGATTGCTTTGTCTATTTGGGCTGTTTTATGGTTCCATATGAATTTTAGAATTAGTTTTTTTTCCAATTCTGTGAAAAATGACTGGTAGTTTGATAGAAATAGCATTGAACTTGTATATTGCTATAGGTAGTACAATATTAATTTTTCTAATCCAGGAGGATGGAATATTTTTCCATTTGTTTGTGTCATCTATGATTTCTTTTAGCTGAGTTTTGCAGTTATCCTTTAGAGATCTTTCACTTTCTTGGTTAGATGTATTCCCAGGTACCTTTGTTTGTGGCTTTTGTAAGTGGGATTATGTTCTTGGTTTGGCTCTTAGCTTGCATCTGATTGGTGTACATAAATGCTACTGATTTTTGTACACTGAGTTTTGATATTGTTTAGATCTGTGTCCTCACCAAATCTCATGTCAAATTGTAATCCCCAGTGCTGGAGGTTGGGCCTGGAGGGAAGTGATTGGCTCAAGGGGGCAAGATCTCATGAATGGGTTAGCACCATCCCCTCAGTGCTGCTCTTGTGATAGTGAGTGAGTGAGTTATCATGACAACTGGTTGTTTAAAAGCATGGAGCACTATCTTCCATTCTGTCTTTCTTTTGCTGTGGCCACTTGAGGTGCTTGTTCCCATTTGTCTTCTGCCATGATTGCAAGTTTCCTGAGGCCTCCCCAGAAGCTGAGCAGATGCCAGCATCATGCTTCCTGTACAGCCTTCAGAAAAGAGACAATTAATCCTCTTTTCTTTATAAATTACCCAGTCTCAGATATTTCTATATAGTACTGTGAGAATGGACCAATACAATTTTGTATCCTGAAAGTTTATCAAAGTGGTTTATCAGTTCCAGGAGCCTTTTGGAAGAGTCTTTAGGGTTCTCTGGGTATGGAATCATGTAGTCTTTGAAGAGAGATAATTTGACTTCTTTTCTTATTTAGGTGCTTTTTATTTCTTTCTCTTGCCTAGTTGCTCTGTCAAGGATTTCCGGTACTATGTTGAGTAGGAACAGCGAGAATGAGCTTTCTTGTCTTGTTCCAGCTCTCAAGGGGAATGCTTCTAGATTTTCAGTTGTATTTTGTAATTCCTTAAGTGAGTTTTTCAATTCTAGAAGCTCTGACTGATTTCTATTTAAAATGTTTATCTCTTCCACCATTTTCTAATTGCTTTAGAAGTTTCTTTGTGTTGATTCTCAATCTTGTCTTGCATCTCATTGACCTTCCTTGCAATCATGCTTTGAATTCTTTATCTGTCATTTCTGAGTTTCCATTTTGGTTATGGGACATTGCTAGAGTGCTAGTGTGACCCTTTGGTGGTGTCAACGCATTCAGAATTTTCATGGTGGCAGAATTCTTGTGCTGGTTTCTTATCATCTGGAGATGACAGCACTTCTAATTTTGTATTTATTTTCTTGTGGGTAGAATTTTTTCTTTTTCTTTCTTTCTCTATAATATCATTTTCATTTTCCTTCCCATTTTCCCTCCCCCCTAGGAGTGTGACTGTAGACGATGCTTGGGGGAGGGTCTTTTGGCTTTGCTTGTATAGCCTTTTGCACTTCTTGTAGCAGGTTTTATACTGGGCTGTGAAGTTCGACCTACAAGCCAATAGATGGCACTTATCAGTAAGAACCAGCTGTGGCCAAGATGGCTGGGTATATAATTGATCCCTCTTTACAGGGGAAGCTCTATGTTACCTCAGACAATGGGTTGATCTATGGAGCACACAGTGGTCTGAGCTACCTGCTCAGCCCCAGGGGTGTGAGGCTTAAGACGAGCAGGGCCAGACAGGGCAGTTCCACCTGCAGGTCCTGTGATGTTAGCCACAAGCTCCAGTGCTGAGAGAGAATCCAGTGGGTGGCCACCAAGTGCTTTGAGGTGTGCCTAGACATGAAGCTGGGAGATCTCTTTAGCCCTAAGTCTCTGCATGGGTAGGGGGAGCAGTCTAAATTCCCAGTTCAGAAGAGTGGGTGCTCCAGGTGCCTGGAATTTTTTGCCTGGGCATGGAGTGCTGAGGGCCCCACTATACCACAATATCTTGAGAAAGTGTGTGGTGGTTCAGGCTGGTAATCTGAGTGAATGGGTGCTCCAACTGCCTGGATATTTGGGCATGAGGTGGAGAAGGCAGCTCTGCTTCAACACAGTCTCTACACAGAAAGATTGGGCTGGCTCTGGTTGCTAATTCAGGTGAGCTGATGCTCCAATTGCCTGGAGATCTATGTGAGTGTGGAACAGAGGGACCCCTGCACCACAGTCTCCACAAAGACAGGGTGGGTTAGCTCAGGCTACTGGTCCCGGTGAGTGGGTGCTCCAAATGCCTGGAGATCTGTCTGGGCATGTGGCAGAGAGCGTCCTGCTTCACCATGATCTCCATGCAGGAAGAATGGGGCAGCTCAGGCTGTCAGTCCAGAAGAGAAGATTCTCCAGATGCCTGGAGGTGTGCCTGGACATGCAGTAAAGAAGGCCTGCACCAAGATCTCTGCAGAGGAGAGGTGACTCAGAGGTGAGCAGTTGATTCTAAAGCCTGGAGATCTACCTGGATGTGAAGAAGAAAGGTGCTCACTGGGCCATGATTTCTGCACAGGACTGGTGGAGTGGCTCAGGCTACTGATCCAGGCAAGTAGGTGCTCTGAATGCCTGGCAATCTGCCTGGTTATAGAAGAGAGAGGGCCCCACTGAACCATGATCTATGCCTAGGAAGGCTGGAGTTGCTCAGGATGCTGGTCCAGGCAAGTGTGTGCTCAGCTGCATCACAATCTCAGGGGGCACTGGGCAATGGCACATGCAGACCAGTTCCAGGTTGCCAAGCTGGCCGTGACTTCAAGTCTCATCACCAAGGAGAAACTGTAGCTGTAGCAGCTCTCCTTCCCCAGATCTGCAACAGAGAGCACAATTCCAGTACCTATTGCTGAGGCGTTTTCCACAGTTTTGGTTGTAACAGCTGCTACTCCACTTAGAGTAAGCACCCTAATCTCTGGCCCAAGACTAAAACCCCTGTGTGGCCACGTTGCCATGTTGCCAAAGAATGGCTGACTTTGTATGCACCCAAATTATAAATGGCATCCTGCTCCTGGGCTCAGGTGTGGAAAAATGCCTGCAGCTATTTCAGGTGTCTTTCCCTCTCAGTGCCTCCAATTCTCTCTCCATGATAGCTTCAGGGCTTTGGAAAATAAAGTGCTCTCCCTTGGCCTGGGTTGATTGGATCACCAGTGGAAAGGTGAGTTACAGAGGGACACACTCTGTCTCTTTCACGTACTGGGGCTTCTCTCCTTTTTGTCACTTGGATGCTGTCACAAGGGCTGTTTGCCCACATTTTCCTCCCTTGGATCTGGGTGTCCTTCATAATTCTGATGAATTCCCATTTTCCTTCTTGAATTAACTCAGAAAATTGATCTTTGTACACTATATTGCTACTTCCAAGTGGTTGAGGCATGCAAAAATCCTCTGATCTGCCATCTTAGGAAAGAAAACATCTTTTTTATAGTTACATATTTTTTCTGCGTTGTGAAATATTGAGATAACCTGAGGTTTGGGAGGCTGAGGCGGGCGGATCACCTGAGGTCAGGAGTTTGAAACCAGCCTGGCCAACATGATGAAACCCCATCTCTAGTAAAAATACAAAAATTAGTTGGGCGTGGTGGTGGGCACCTATAATCCCTGCTACTCGGGAGGCTGAGGCAAGAGAATCCCTTGAACCCAGGGAAGCGGAGGTTGCAGTTAGCCGAGATCCTGCCATTGCACTCCAGCCCGGGTAACAAGAGTGAAACTCCGTCTCACAAAAAAATAAAAAAGAGAAAAGAAAGTCTGACAGTAGAATGGTGTATAAATTGACAAGAAGATACAGAAAACGTCTTCCTGTGCTTCCAGAAAGACCATAGACTTTGAGAGATATATTTTATAATGTAACCAAATAAAATAATTTTGATAATAAACATATTAGACTTTTCTTATGAGTATTATAATTATTTTTGTATATACACATAGAGTAATGCAGGGACAAATCTAGCCTTCATTATTATATGAAGCAAAAATTAAAATTAAATCAAAACCAAAATTAAAATTTAACTAAACCTTAATAAAATAGTAATTAGGTTTTAACTTATTCATCAAATAAGTTATGTCAACTAAATAAACAAAAAATGTTGCACATATGTTTATTATTAACTTGTTTAAAGCAGACCTTTTCCTTAAGATATTCACTATTGTCACCATATCTTATATATAAATATAATATAGAATATTTTATGTAATGTATTCCATTAATACGTTAATTATAAGTATACACTATTACATTAATTATATGAATAACATATAATTGTATATTATCTATTTTTTTTTAGATCTCATACATATAATCATGTATTATGGCTATTAATTATAATCTAATTATGAATTTAAGATATTAATAGAATTATATATAATAGCATATATATAATTTTTATATTATGAGGGGGTACACGTGCCCTCACTCTACTACATTTGATATAGCAGGTAGCTAATCAGACTTAAGCAGGTCAGGAGAAGTGCCCTTCACCAGGAATGTCAGACAACCGTCAAGTGATGTCAGTTGTTTATTAAACTGTCTCTCTAAAATAATAATTGGTCACAGCCACCTCCATAATAATAATAATAGACAGAGACATCTGAAACTGGTAATCAGCATCTTCCCAATAAGATCTCAGGAGTCAGACAAGTGGGCTCAAGCGTGCTCACTAAGAGGCAAAACTGCAGAGTTTAACTGGCAACACTCAGCTGCTAAGGGAAAAATGCCTCAAGTGAGCATGTGTACAACTTCAGTAAACACTGCACACACAGCCCCTCCCAATTGCTGGCAGCTATTGTGCTTGCGGACAGCTCACCCCAAAGGAAGAATCAGGGGAGAAGTAACTCAAAAGCCTGGAACCATGCCAACATATAAAATCCCAAGTCAAATGGCAAACCATACACTTGATCTCTCAAGTCGCCCACTTGGCCCTCTTCCAAGTGTATTTTACTTCCTTTCATTCCTGCTGTAAAGCTTTTAGATAAACTTTTACTCCTGTTCTAAAACTTGCTTCAGTCTCTCTCTCTGCCCTATGCCCCTCAGTCAAATTCCTTCTTCTGAGGAGGCAAGAATTGAGGTTGTTTCAAATCCATACAGATTCACCACTGCTAATACATTGACATTTTGAGATTCTTTTCAGATCATCATTTTCTATGCATAAAGGCAGGATGTGTCTCCGTCTACTGTTCTGGGGATTAAGGCATTGAATAACGAGTGTAGCTGAGAGGACTGTAGTGTATTTGGAATAGAGTTTGTCCTCAATCTGTAATGTAATCTAAGTGGCTCATTCAAAACTTTGCTCCACAGTAGGAAACCAATCCTCCAGGAAAATCTTTTGGGCACAAATGTCATTGCATTTAATAGGAAAAGCCTTGTTTTGGGAAATCATTGTTCCAGAAAAATGCCAAATTAAATGGACAATTACTCTGGCTTGCCTTGAAGATAGTTTCACATTTTAGGAAAATGGCCCGAAAAAGTAACTTTCTTCTAAGGAGAGAAAGTATCTGATATGACTTTAGCACTACACAAATGCCACTACAACCCCAAATTAAAATATTAAAAATCTGAATTGCATGATGAAATTATGGCAAATAATTTGAGAAATAAGAAAGGGGATTAACATGCATAAACTCAACTCCTTGTCTTCTAAAATATTTATAAATGTAAATATAGGAGCTCTTCCTTTCTCGAATAATCAGAAATAGTCAAGCAGCCAGAATTTCTCTGGGTAACACTATTGCTTTTTTAATTCAAAATTCCTGTCAAGCACCACAAATGTATGCAAACATAACTGGCAGATAAGACTGTAACAATGTTTCATGGCTCAACTGCATATATTCTTCCGTGTACCAAGCAAATAGTAGGTAGAATATAAATGTATGGATTTTACTCATTTTTATTAAGAGATAATTTCATGTCACATTCACAGGTAAAGATGAGCTGAATAGTTTGTGATTGTCAACTTGCTATTTACTAATATTCAGATATTGCTTCCTCTCTGAAGCTTTCTCTGGTCCTAACAGACTAATCTGTTTCTCTCTTTTCTGCTCTATTATAATGACATGTTTTACTTACATATCTTAATGACATGTTTAATTACATTGTTTTTTTAATTCCAAATTTTATTACAAAATGTTAAATGAAGCAAAACTAGGCATGTTCATGTATAGTAAGGGATATTTCATGGAATATAAAGGCAAATATACCAATTTTAATTAACATGTAAGCTCCATGAGATCAGGGATTTGTCTTGTTCACTGCTTAATTGCCAATACTTAATGAATGAGAAGGTGCATCAAAAGACAAGCTGCCCACAGACCCCCTGGTATGTGCAAGAGAAGAGTGGGTGGAGATAGGCAAGCGGTGAACTATTATGACTTTAGAGTAATTAAAAGTTTGAGGGTAAAGAAGCAGGGTGGAAGTTGTCTGCCATTGAGGTGCTAGTCAAAAAATACATGTGCAAACATTTGTTGGTAGACATCCTAAAAGAAAAAGAAATGCAGAATATTGTAAAGGTGCCACAGAATGAAAAGTCTCTGGGCTTAATGGTTTTGCTGAGACCATTTTCTGAGACTCTGATGCTTTAGCATTTGGATTGTTAATATTCTTTATGGAAAAAAGCCAGAAGCATACAGACAATTTATATTTTTAAAGAGACTAAGGTAGTAAGAATCAACAAGGATGCCCTGATACACATAACTCACTGGGGCAGTTTGTTCTTTCCTGATAGGTCCGTTTTGAATCAAGTTCTTCATTTTGTACTGCAGAATTAAGTCATCAAATGTAGCCTACTTGGCTCTGCTGTTATTTTTTTGAAAATGCAATTTCCTTTGAATTGTAACTGGACCCAGGTTCTGCTGCTTGCTGCTTGAAAGCCAGACACAAGAGGCAAGGATTGGTGGGAGGAGAAGCAGCTTTAATTGGAGAGCAAGCAAACTGAGAAGATGGCAAACTAGCATTCTAAAGTACCATCTTAAATTTTAAAATTAATCACAGGGTTTTTATCATTAGATATTTAAGATTTTCTCCTTGTAAATAATAGGGCAAGAAATACTTTTATGAATTAAATTTTTCTCTTATGTAGAATATCTCCCCTGTTAAGGTAAATTATCATATCTACAAGCAAATAGTTTAAATAAACAAAGAATCACAAAAATCTAAAACCTTTTCCCAATACTTTTAGCATATTTTCAACCACTCACCAAAATAATTGTAACTATTTACACTATCTACAGTAATATATGAATTTTAGTATACTCTAGGAAGCAGATAGTAGTGTTACTTTACATTTTTATTAATTTTATGGGTGTTTCATTATTCTTTTATTTGTGTTTTCTTAATTTAAACTCTGGTTGTTAAATATAATTTGCTATATTCGATATTAGTTGTATCTCTTCTTATGGAAACAGTTATGTTATGTCATATGTCTATTAAATTTATTAATGATATTTTTAACAATTTGAAATCAAAAATATAAGATAATAAGGTTTTCTCTATTTCCTATAAACATATTTACCTTAGTACAGTTTTTTATAACTTTAGTCATGTTATTTACATTAAAACAATGTTTTATTTGCATATAGATGTATGTATTGTTCATTTTCTTTGACTAATTATTTCTTATTTCAAATATGTAAATTTCTATTAAAGATTAGTTTTACAAACACAGGTATATTTATTAATTTATTTAAGAAATGGGGTTTTCTCTATTATATTTCCTATAAACATATTTACTTTAGTACAGGTCTTTAATAACTTCAGTAATGTCATTTACATTAAAACAATGTTTTATTTGCATATAGATGTATGTATTGTTCATAATTATTTCATATTTCAAATATGTAAATTTCTATAAAAATTAGTTTTAGAAACAGATATATTTATTAATTTTTTTTTTTAAGAAAAGGGGTCTGGCTATATTGCCCAGGCTGGTCTTGAACTCCTGGCCTCAAACAGTCCTGGCACCTTCGCCTCTCAAAGTGCTGGGATTACAAGCATGAGTCACCCTACCTGGCCACACAGATACATTTAACTTTATCCTAAAAAAATACTAGCTGTGTTTTGTGTGTGTGTGTGTGTGTGTGTTTTGGTATAAATTACACTCAGATGTGATTCCATTGGAACACCCATTTTTCTAGAAGAGGCATTAAACCATGTACTTCATAAAGTTCCTTTTGTGCTCTTGCATACCCAGTAACAGCTCAGGCTTTTCTTAGCTCTATTGAATGACCCTCTTACCTACACAGCATGAAAGAAATGGAGATTATGGGCAGAGATTTACTGCAGATATCAGAAAAGGTCAGCGGAGGGGGATTTATAGTTATTTGATGAGTGAAATGGGAAAATGAGAATAGGCAATTCTAAAGTATACCTTTTTTCTCAAAACAGTCAAACTTACCAGAGTGATAGATTTGTCTAGATGTGTTGGGTATTTTGCCATAATTTTGTATTTCTTCCACAGCACATCAGAGGTCTAAATAAAGCCCTCTATCTGGTATGAAATCCCAGCATACTCAAGTCAGAGAGTAGGTTCATACTCTACAAACTATATTCTTATATTTTAAGAATGTTGTATTTGCTTGGTTTAAACTATATCTATTTTATATACTTAGTAGCACATCATCAATCAGTCCTTACATGAGAAACCTAATACTTTTCTTCTGATACCTTTCAATAACTTCTCCCCTGATCCCCCCAACCTGAGTTACATTAAATGGCACTGTACCATCATTTAGGTTATACAATAGTTCTCTGAAGAGTCAATGTTACCAATATCTTGTATGGTACCTGACTCTATGAACTACCTTATACGCACTTACACTCTTTATTCTTGTATTTTTCTTTTTTTTTGTCTTGCTTGATAAACTTCTGGCCAGTTTTCAGAATCATTTTTATCTTGCAAAAGTTATTTGCATGTTTATCAACATATTTGCTGAATTTTTATAGAACTTTTCTGATAATTCCAAGACCAAATAAGAAGTATCTAATTTTTAATGATTATTTCTGTGGCTAAAATAGTTTCTGTGTCATGATATCATTTCAATATGGTTATATTCTATAATAAGCTTTCTTAGTTTTTCAAGTCTTCAAAAATAAATTCATAGACATATGGCTGTGTGGCAGTTCTATACTGCCCAAGCTTCAATCAGTCCATTCCAAGGGTAGTGATGTTATGGGCAGTTGTGGGGGGGTCCTTGCTCTCAGAGCTCCCAAGATGGCAGCAGGCCGCTTCCAAGATGGTGGCAAGCCTCGTGTTCTCTGACCTGGGGTTCTTGGCCTCACGGATCCCAAGGAATGGAATCTTGGGACGTGTGGTGCATGTTATAGCTCTAGTAAAAGCTGTGGGTCATGGAGGAACGAACAACTCCAGACGCGCCATCTTAAGAGCTGTAACACTCACCGCGAAGGTCTGCAGCTTCACTCCTGAGCCAGCCAGACCAGGAACGCACGAGAAGGAAGAAACTCTGAACACATCCAAACATCAGAAGGAACAAACTCTGGACACGCTGCCTTTAATAACTGTAACGCTCACCACGAGGGTCCGCGGCTTCATTCTTGAAGTCAGTGAGACCAAGAACCCACCAATTCCAGACACAGTAGCAAACCTCGTGTTCTCTGACCTAGGGTTCTTGGCCTCACGGATTCCAAGGAATGGAATCTTGAGACATGCGGTGCATGTTATAGCTCTAGTAAAAGCCGTGGGTCATGGAAGAGAACCGTGGAACCCAGTGGCTGGTGTTCAGCTCGATTAGGACGAACCCGGGCACTTAGCCATGCAGGAACAATGGCAAGCCTCTAACCCCATCAGGAGCGACAATGGGCACCTCACTGGATCAGGAGCACAGCGGACACCCTGCCGGATCCGGAGGGATGGAAGTCAGTGGCGGGTCTGCGACGTCGGCAAACAACAGTGGTGGACAGCAAGTAAAAGCTCAGCTCGAGCCGTAACAAACATGGACCAGAAGAGAGTGCAGTTGCAAGATTTAATAGAGTGAAAACAGAGCTCCCATACAAAGGGAGGGTCCGGACCCAGAGGGTAGCCGTTGCTGGCTCGAATGCCTGGGTTTATATCCCTATCATTGTCCCTCCTGCTGTGCTCTCAGGTGATAGAAGATTAGCTATTTCTTTACCTCCTGTTTTTGCCTGATTAACATTTTAGTGAGCTCTCTGACTGGTCAGGTGTGAGCTAAGTTGCAAGCCCTGTGTTTAAAAGTGGACGCGGTCACCTTACCAGCTAAGCTTAGGGAATCTTAGCTGGCCTAGGAAATCCAGCTAGTCCTGTCTCTCAGTAATGCATGGAGAGTGAAGTTTAATGGTAACTTTTATTCCTCTAATAAGTGGTAGATAAAGTAGTGACAGGCCTTAAAAGTAGAAAACATTAATTTTTTCCCCAATCTGGTGAATTTTCCCATGCACAGAGCTCAAATTTATTCTACTTAGGGAGATTTTCCTAGAGAAGGATAAATTAAATTATAAAAGATAAAAATGTGATCCCATCAAAACACTGTTTACATATATAGGCACACACATTCACAGAATTTTTAAAATTTACTTTAGTATAGATGTTTTAAGTTACTTGTGGGGACATTCTTTTGAATAGACATGCCTGTCTACCTATCTCTGTCCCACAGTGGAAAATGGTTTATGGCTACACAAACTTTCTCAGATCAATAATACGTGGCTCTGTGTGTTGAACCCACAGTTAAGGTCCAAAAATTGAATCTTGTTTGTCAATCACTTGCTCTGTAACTTAAGATAAGTCATTTCATGCTTTTATATTCTATGTAAAAGTATAATTTTCCAGTTTGACAAATAATGACCTTGCTACTTACTAATGAAGTAACTATATTAAATGTCTCTGAGCCTCAGTGTCTTACTATCCCTGTTCAATGGGAATAAGGATATACCTTCAGCACATTTGTCAAGTAGTGTAAGATGTGAGTACAAGAGCCTGACACACAATAGGTGTTAAGTAAATGGCAACTTCTGTAGCATTACACACATATAACATAATATACACACAGAACACACACACTTTAAAAGACAAAAATATCCCATAACAAATGGTGGGTCAATATGCAAGGAAAAAATAATGTTTTAGAATATTTTAAAATGTTTAAACTTCCTATATGTCATGCTTAAGCCTGTAAGACTTCTATCAAAGCATCATTATGGTACATTGTAATTTAGTTCAGTTTCTGTATTTTTAAAAGAAATCCTTGCCATCCTCCAATTCTAACATTGGAAGGTAATCTGAAAGCATTTTATCTGAACTGTAATCAAGGAAGCTGACTCCTGATCTCTTCTCATAATACCAGGAAGGATGTTACTGTCAATGTTGATGGGAGGATGGAGCTGCCCCACTTCTAAGAGTAATATTCCTTACTTCATTTAATTCACTCTTCCTGACTTTTACAGTCCGGTCAGTAATTCTATTGAACAGAAATAAATGCTATAAGCACATTGAGTCGGCATGGATGAAGCTGATTTTTTTACCCCTCCTTTTCCGCAGTTATTTTTAGCAACAGATTACAAACTATAATATTGAAAGTCACTGCTGGATGTGTTGAAGTATTTTTATCAACTGCACTGCTGCCATTGTTTTCTTAGTCAATGTCCTTTCTTGGGGAAACTATCAGGAATGTCATGTTTTCGTCACACATTTTATGCTTTAAATTATTATCCAAAACTTTCTATAAGAGCATAATGTGCTTTAGCAGATAGAAAACAAAAAACCCCACAGAACAAACATAAGAAGTTTGCTGATATTTTTCAAGACAAATGGGGCATACTTTAATGATGATTATAATAAATACTAATCATGGTAAAGCTTAGAAAAACTTTATTAATTTTTCTTAATCATACTGTCATAAATCTAAAAAGCATATTCATATATTATTGCATTAAATCCTTACTGTATTATTGAAATTCCATGTAAAATAGCCCACACACATTTAAGAAAAAGACAATTTAAGTCTGGGCGTGGTGGCTCACACCTGTAATCCCAGCACTTTGGGAGGCTGGGGCGGCTGGATCACGAGGTCAAGAGTTCGAGACCAGCCTGGCCAACATGGTGAAACCCCGCCTCTACTAAAAACACAAAAATTAGCTGGGCATGGTAGCGGGGGCCCGTAATCCTATCTACTCCCAAGGCTGAGGCAAGAGTATTGCTTAAACCCGGGAGGTGGAGGTTTCAGTGAGCCGAGATTGTGCCACTGTACTCCAGCCTGGGCAACAGAGGAAGACTCTGTCTCAGAAAAAAAAAAAAAAAAAATTGAGTAACACAAAGATTTATGGCAAAAGTCATTTTTTAAAATATATTTTGTCACTTCATGTGTTTCCAAGTTCTTTCACATCAATTTCACATTGACAGAATCTCAGTCTTGGTTATTAAAAAGAAGCCAGACACAGTGGCTCATACCTGTAACTCCAGCACTTTGGAAAGTGAAGCAGGGAGGATTGCTTGAGGCTGGGAGATCAAGACCATCCTAGGCAACATAGAGAAACCATGTCTGTTCAACACAGTAGCCGGGTGTGGTGGCATGCACCTGTAATTCTACCTACTCAGGAGGCTGAGATGGAAGGATCACTTGAGTCCAGGAGTTCAACTTTAGTGGCTTTCATTGAGCCACTGCACCCCAGCTTTGGTGACAGAGTGAGACCCTTTCTCAAAAAAAAAAAAAAAAAAGCATATCAAGTATAAAATGCTATGAGATAGCATCATTCTAATTAAACTAGATCAAAGTGTTGCCAGAATTGATTTCTTCTGAGGCCTCTTTTCCTAACTTGTAGATGGTCATTTTCTCCCTTTCTTCTTATGTGGTTTTTCCTGTGTGTGCCTGTGTTCTATTAAAGAGGCCAGTCATATTGGATTAGAGCCCACCCTAACAACCTCATTTTAACTTATTACCTCTTTTTTTTTTTTTTTTTTTGGTTTTGTTCTTTTGAAACGGAGTCTCGCTCTGTTGCCCAGGCTGGAGTGCAGTGGCACAATCTCAGCTCATGGCAACCTCTGCCTTTGGGTTCAAGTAATTCTCCTGTCTCAGCCTTTCAAGCAGTTGGGATAACAGGCATGTACCACCATGCCCAGCTAATTTTTGTATTTTTAGTAGAGACAGGGTTCACCATTTTGGCCAGGCTGGTCTTGAACTCCTGACCTCAGATGATCAACTCGCCTCGGCCTCCCAAAGTGCTGGGATTACAGGCGTGAGCCACTGCACCCAGTCATTTAATTAATTCTTTAAAGATCTAATCTTTAAACATAGTCATATTCTAAGGTGCTGGGAGTTAAGTCTTCAACATACCAATTTTTAGGCAATACAATTCAACTCATAAGAATATGTAATATTCTAGTAACAGTGATAATAATAATAATAAAAACAAAAATGTGTCGTTATAGCCTGGACTACATTGCTCTCTCTCATTAGAGAACCCTAACCTTCTTAGGAATGTCCCAATATTCAGTTATAAAACTGCATTTCCCAAATTGCCTGGCACTGAGAAGTGATTGTTTGATCCAACTCTGCACAATGGATTTTAAATGAAATTGTTGGGAAAGACCACTGTGACTGCTGACAGACAGTGCCCGCATCCACAGGTATGCCTCCGTGGGCATTTGCCCTTTTACCCCTCCATGATTTCCAGCAGCCACTCCAAAAAAAAAAAAAAAAGTGGCAAGCTACAATATTCCTTTTATTGCTGGTTTGTGGACTTATTTTATGTGGAGAAAAACATATTGCATGTAAGCCATTATTATTCAGGGTTCTATTACATGAACTAAGATGAATCCTTTTTAATATGGAGAATTTAAGGAAAAAGACACCTGAGATGGTAAGAATTCATTAAGAAATGATCCAATTGTTTTTTCATATCAAGGGGGTCTAATGACATTGTAATAAAGACCAATAGTGGAAATTAAGATACAATTAACATCTTCTGGCCTTTGAACATTTTCACAACCCCATTGTCTCAGCCCAAAATCTCCTTAAGCTGATAAGCAACTTCAGCAAAGTCTCAGGATACAAAATCAATGTGCAAAAATCACAAGCATTCTTATACACCAATAACAGACAAACAGCCAAATCGTGAGTGAACTCCCATTCACAATTGCTTCAAAGAGAATAAAATACCTAGGAATCCAACTTACAAGGGATGTGAAGGACCTCTTCAAGGAGAACTACAAACCACTGCTCAAGGAAATAAAAGAGGATACAAACAAATGGAAGAACATTCCATGCTCATGGGTAGGAAGAATCAATATCGTGAAAATGGCCATACTGCCCAAGGTAATTTATAGATTCAATGCCATCCCCATCAAGCCACCAATGACTTTCTTCACAGAATTGGAAAAAACTACTTTAAAGTTCATATGGAACCAAAAAAGAGCCCCGCATCGCCAAGTCAGTCCTAAGCCAAAAGAACAAAGCTGGAGGCATCACGCTACCTGACTTCAAACTATACTACAAGGCTACAGTAACCAAAACAGCATGGTACTGGTACCAAAACAGAGATATAGATCAATGGAACAGAACAGAGCCCTCAGAAATAAGGCCGCATATCTACAACTATCTGATCTTTGACAAACCTGAGAAAAACAAGCAATGGGGAAAGGATTCCCTATTTAATAAATGGTGCTGGGAAAACTGGCTAGACATATGTAGAAAGCTGAAACTGGATCCCTTCCTTACACCTTATACAAAAATTAATTCAAGGTGGATTAAAGACTTAAATGTTAGACCTAAAACCATAAAAACCCTAGAAGAAAACCTAGGTGTTACCATTCAGGACATAGGCATGGGCAAGGACTTCATGTCTAAAACACCAAAAGCAATGGCAACAAAAGGCAAAACTGACAAATGGGATCTAATTAAACTAAAGAGCTTCTGCACAGCAAAAGAAACTACCATCAGAGTGAACAGGCAACCTAAAAAATGGGAGAAAATTTTCACAACCTACTCATCTGACAAAGGGCTAATATCCAGAATACACAATGAACTCAAACAAATTTACAAGAAAAAAACAAACAACCCCATCAAAAAGTGGGCGAAGGACATGAACAGACACTTCTCAGAAGAAGACATTTATGCAGCCAACAGACACATGAAAAAATGCTCACCATCACTGGCCATCAGAGAAATGCAAATCAAAACCACAATGAGATACCATCTCACACCAGTTAGAATGGCAATCATTAAAAAGTCAGGAAACAACAGATGCTGGAGAGGATGTGGAGAAATAGGAACACTTTTACACTGTTGGTGGGACTGTAAACTAGTTCAACCATTGTGGAAGTCAGTGTGGCGATTCCTCAGGGATCTAGAACTAGAAATACCATTTGACCCAGCCATCCCATTACTGGGTATATACCCCAAGGACTAGAAATCATGCTGCCATAAAGACACATGCACAGGTATGTTTATTGCGGCACTATTCACAATAGCAAAGACATGGAACCAACCCAAATGTCCAACAATGATAGACTGGATTAAGAAAATGTGGCACATATACACCATGGAATACTATTCAGACATAAAAAATGATGAGTTCATGTCCTTTGTAGGGACATGGATGAAACTGGAAATCATCATTCTCAGTAAACTATCTCAAGAACAAAAAACCAAACACTGCATATTCTCACTCATAGGTGGGAATTGAACAATGAGAACACATGGACACCTGAAGGGGAACATCACACTCTGGGGACTGTTGTGGGGTGCGGGGAGCGGGGAGGGATAGCATTAGGAGATATACCTAATGCTAAATGACGAGTTAATGGGTGCAGCACACCATCACGGCACATGTATACATATGTAACTAACCTGCACATTGTGCACACATACCCTAAAACTTAAAGTATAATAATAATAAAATAAAGAAATATACATATATCATACAACATTTAGAGAATACAGAAAAATAAAAAATGAAATATATAATCTCACTATATGAATATTATGTAACATATCTATATATACATTAAAAGTTATAATCACCATAAAAAAAATTTTCACATGACATATGTCTGTACATTTCTATAGTAATGTCACGGACCAATTTTTATAATTGACTTCTGAAAATGAATTTATATCTTAAGTTAACATTAATTAATGAAGAAAATGATCCTGAAGAAGAGATAAGCCTATTTCAATATCATCTTTGGCTCTTAAGCATGAATGACACTGATACATTTTACAATTACTATGATCTGAATAATTCCACTCTAGTGAATTCACTACATTTAGCCCATGTGTCATGTAAAAATAGGCCATCACAACTGATGTTGCTAAAGAATTATGTAATGGAAGCTCTAGTCAGTAATTTTAGAAAATAGCCAAAAAGGGTCATTTGATACAAACTTTTATCATGACTCTTTATCTTTATTTTGGAAGTATATGTAATGGTAGGTACAGACCACTCTTTCTAAATTGGTTTTCATATTTAAAATATATAGGAGTCCATGTAAAGGCAAAATGTAAAGTAAAATATATATAGTTACATATCTGAGTACATATTACATGCAAGATATAGTTACATAGTGATTACATATCAAGTGCAAGACTTGTAATAGGTGCTTTGAAATTTGTAATTAAATTTTGATAAATTTATGCTATACTTCAATTTCCTTCATAGTGTATATGGTAGTATATCAAGTCTTTGATGCATAAAGCTAAAATATTTACTCAACTTCTGTAAGTGACTAAGTAGATAACCTACACTTGCCTTTTAGGGGGGATTCAAACCTTTTTCTCTTCCTTCAATTCTCTATGTTGCTTCAAAGGAATGAGTCAGAATCCAGGGGGAAATGCCCTACTGCTAAGAAGGACATATATTGTAAAATTTGAAGACATCGATATTGTCTAGGTTTCTAAGGGTGAGAATTTTAAAAAGTTTTATAGATCATCATGCCTTGCATGTGATCTTTTATACCCCTCTCTGACATTTACACTGTTTAAGTCATTGAGTAGAGGCAATTCCCCCATTCTATACACAAGAGAAGACCCAATACTTCATTCTTCCTCTCTCCCTTCTTTCTCATTTACACACACACATAAACCTATCTCAAATCTCCTCCTCCACAAAACAAAATAAAGAAACAAAATTGTGATAACCTTGACAAAAATAAAAATAAAAACTACCCCATGCACAGAAGTAATGTTACCTAGATACTTTCCCTGATTTAAGAAGGCCTTGAGTCTGCATCCTAAAACAGCCATCATTAAGATATTGAGGTATATCTCCTCTCTCCTCCCTATATATTTGGAGAGCAGGACTCGGCTGCACAGGCCTACCTAAGTAGAGAGACATTGAAAGAATCAACTCCAGCCTAGCCTACTGGATTGCATTACTGGCTGTTGAGGCCAAAGTCCCAAATAATATGTAGGGGTGCCTTGCTTTCTCTGTTACGGTTTTCTACACATATTTCTCAGGAACTATACCGTAACAAATGACTTGTCAGTAACACAATGTTGTTTGCCTGGAGTTGGCTGGCCAGAATGTGATTGCTAAATGTCATCTAATATTTGTTCATATCAGCATCCTGTTTCATCATTCACAGCAGAGCCCATATCTGTTTGATTCTAAATCCAATTGTCATTCATCTACACATTGCTATATTCTCCATCTTTAGAGTTACAGGCAGGTTTCCAACCCTTCCTCTGTCTTTTGATGATATTCATATAAGGTTCCCATTTTCTTCTCACCTTTATTGTAGTCAAAACTTATGTTTAAATAGAGACTTCTCAGCCTAATGTCCATTACCTAACTGCAAATGCCAAATAAAGTTTAGGGTATCTAAATATTCCCCATAATTGTCCGAAAATTTGTGTGTCTCTGTGTTAATTTAAGCGAAGTCAATAGAATCAAATTATTTCATCAGATTTTAAAGGGAGATCATATTTCCCTACCCCACATCTAAAAACAATTGCTCTACAAAATATTTAGTAATTACAATAATGATGATAGTAGAAATATAACATACTAATAATCATTATTATTAATTGAGGTAATATGAGGGCTTTATAGAAAGTGGCATATTTAATTATTGCAATAAACTAGAATACAGTGTTAATGATCCACATCATAATGATGAATAAATTGAAGCTGAGAAAGAGTAAGAAACTTTCTTACAGTGTCATATTAAGTGGTGCCAAGAGTATACACCAATCTGTTCAACTGTCCTTGACATACATGCAGCATACCGCATTGATGTCACGGCAAAATAACTTGCAATGCTGAGTGTACATTCTCTTTCAGGACAGGTAATGGTAACCAGCGTAGCATACACATATACAGTATTACACTAAGGAAAAGCACTTCTATAATAATTGAGCTTCTCCATGAATGGGGAGATTGTTTGTTCTTAGATCAGGGAACTATTTTTCTAAGCTCCATTAATTCCATAGCAAATTGACTCCACAGTCAAATGTTAGGGTAATTCTGGTTAAATTTGTGTTTTATCTTTTTTAAAATTGGAAACAATCAGATATTATTTTTAAAATAAAGCTTTGCTGTTAGAAAACAGTGACAATGTATATATTAAAGTTTGATCTTTTTAATTGACTTGTATGCTAAAGTTCATGCAAGGAAGGTCCGTATTATTGGCTACAGTTTTCACACTGGTATATAAAGAGATTGGTAAACCAAGAGTCACAGAGGTTGGCCGAATGCTGTATGATACTGCATGAGTCAGCACAACTCTTTTAGCTTCATCAGCTTCACACATAAAGAATGGTAAGATGGTGCGGTGCAGTGGCTCACGCCTGTAACCCCAGCACTTTGGGAGGCCGAGGCTGGTGGATCACTTGACTTGAGGTCAGGAGGTTGAGACCAGCCTGGCCAACATGGTTAAACCCCGTCTCTCCAAAAAGGTACAAAAATTAGCTGTGCGTGGTGCGCTTGCCTGTAGTCCCAGCCACTGGGGAGGCTGAGGTAGGAGAATCCCTTGAACCTGGGAGGTGGAGGTTGTAGTAAGCTGAGATTGTACCACTGCACTCTAGCCTGGGTGACGAGTGAGACCCTATCTCAAAAAAAAAAAAAAAAGAAAGAAAAGAAAAGAAAAAAGAAAAAAAAATGATAAGATGGCTTTTGTGTCTTTCCCCTCCAAGATAAGGTAATGTGACTCAATTACCTGTTTCTTGTTGCCAGAGTCTGATGAAATGCATTGTTAGGGCATTATTTGACTTTTGTTTTAGGCTATGCATGTGCCTAAATTATCATTTAAAGAAGCAGCAACTTTGCAAGGAATTTAGTTTTGTTGCTTCCTGTACTCAACAGCAGCTTACATTAAATGTGTATTATTTCTCTTTTTAATCATCTAATTTCCTTCTTAACTATAATAGTATGCATGTGGAGGCACTTCAAATACTTATCCTAACAAATGCCTTCCAAAGGCATTAAATACGGCTGCCCTTCACTCTTTCTCATCAAGGATCAGCTTGTTACATAATAGACTAATTAAATAATTAGAAGTTTTAATATGATTCCCTGGATGAATTGTGAAAAACAGTACATTAGCAATCTGTTTATTGAAAAAAATAAATAAAACTAACAAATTTTAACTAACTAAAACTAACACTATATCCTTAAACCTTTACTGAGGTTTCAAAATGGCACATATGGGTGAGTTTGGTCACTTCAATCAGGGGAACCATTTCATCAAAGGTGAAATGAAATGTATGCTATTTTACTTCATCCGGCCCAAATTTGACAATGGTTAATCAGTTATGGATAATAACAATCCATAACAGATAATTACAAACATATTTTTAAATGGTAGAAAGAATCTTAGGGATTTCAAGAAATATGTGTGACAATCCTTAAGCTGCTGAAAATTACTTTGACGGACAGCATTAATTTCTGAAAACCTGACCTCATGCTCTTTATGTAATCCATGTTCCATTGTTGATAAACTAGCACAGTTTTAAAAACCTGTATAAATATATATACACACACACACACACACGTGTGTGTGTGTGTGTGTGTACAAGTGCATGGTTTTTTTTTTTTTTTTTGAGAAGGAGTCTTGCTCTGTCTCCCAGGCTGGAGTGCAGTGGCGCGATCTCGGCTCACTGCAAGCTCCGCCTCCTGGGTTCATGCCATTCTCCTGCCTCAGCCTTCCAACAAGACTACAGGTGCTTGCCACCACGCCCGGCTAATTTTTTGTATTTTTGGTAGAGACGGGGATTCACTGTGTTAGCCAGGATGGTCTCGATCTCCTGACCTTGTGACCCACTCACCTCAGGCTCCCAAAGTGCTGGGATTACAGGTGTGAGCCACCGTGCCTGGCCAGTGCATGGTTTCTTAAATGTTTTTTTTCTCTGAAATTCTGTACAGTCATATAGTATTTACTGGTCACTAATTATTGTACATACTATGCTAGACATTGTAGGCATGTGCTATGACACATCCTAGGAAAGTTAATTATCACTGAATTGATTAAGAAACTAATGATTTTTAATATGATAAAGCAGAAGGAAGAAAAAGAAATGGACAATACTGTTTACTAAATGATAAATGACAGGAATGCGATGGCTGTTTCTGCATGTAAACATAAAGCATTTAAAGGCTAGACTTGTCTAAGAAATCAACTTATCCACTGGTCTTAAGAAATCAACACAAAAGCAAACAAGAGCAAATTCTCTACTTACAAAGCATTTATTAAGGATGTTGTGTCAAGCTTCGGACTTGTAATAGTTTGACTAAAGAATCAATAGCTTAAGCATTAATGATCTGCAGCAGTGGCAGAGGAACCTCCATTCCTGATGTGATTCTTCAAAGCCCACAAACGTTCTGTTCTGTCTGCCTAAAATACTGAGCTGTAATTTAGCACATTTATTATTTGAAATATCAGCCTTATAAATAGGGAGATTACCTATGTAGGGTCATAAATAATAAAGGCAGGACATGAAATGACATTGAGAAACAGAGTTTGTCATTTAAGGTAGGGGTCAGAAGAATATCTGGTCAAGGGCAACTGGCTTATAAAAGGAAGTGTGATCATCAGGATAAATGAAGTGTCTTTTACTAAAGATTCTAATAGACTAGAGACTTGCTACCGTTAATGTGTCATTTATATCATACACAAAGGAGAATAAAATAGAGAAAAAGAACGTTGAAATATTCATGGTCAAATTTCCACTGAATCTTTATTAAGTCACTAATTTTTGGATGAGAGTCCACCTTATATATGAGATATTACATAGTTTGCACTTAAATCTATTTAACTACTTATAAGACTTCCATAGAACAATCTATCTCTCTGACATTTAAGTAAATTAATGATTCCTTTGAATTAAATCTTCCTTAAAATAGATATGCTTCTACCTAGAAGTATATGCTCTAAACACATATGTAATCTTGGTTTGAAAATCAAAGCAAAATTAAAATCTGAGTAATATGGAGTAAGAAAATAAAGCCTTTGCTGTGTTTGACAGAAAAATTCTATCAGTACATACAAATTAAATTATAATTTCATTACCTTTATCTTATACATATGTTGCATATTTATATATATTTTAAAAACAGTATATTTCATATAATGTTCTCAATTATTTATAATAAAATATTAACTAACCCTTCAGGGCTAATACTTTAAGAGAGAATTTTTCCCATGAAATTGTACCTTTTCTTTATGACAAAATTTTAGTTAGTTTGCTTTTGCTTATTGTTTGCACAGATATAAACATTTAGAACAGTGGTTCTTTACCAGAGCTGATTTTGCACCCTAGAAGACATTTAGCAATGCTTTCGGACATTTTCTATTGCTATATCTTGGAGGGAAATGTTATTGGCATCTAGTTGGTGGATGCCAAGAATTCTGCCAAACATCCTGCAATGCACAGGACAAACCTCCACAATAAAGAAGTATTCAGCCAAAAACATCCATGTGCCAGCATTGAGAAACCCTGATTTAAATATATCTTTTAATCTCCCATTTGGTTTCCAAAACTCCTCATCAAGTCCGAGACATTGTTTCATTGGAATATCATAATAATGTACTGTTAAGTCACATGATATGTGTGTTTTGGAGTTAAATATTCTCTAACTTATGATTGTTTTGGTCTAAACGAAAAAAATGTAGTTTTTATATTATAAAAATCTGGAAAGAATATTAAAATGGGTGAATTTATGTTGCCTTGATGTTGGCTAATGTTCAGGGTATTGGAGTGATCAGTTTCAAGTCCCAGTTTCTTTTTCTTTTTTTTTCTTTTGGAGACAAGGTCTCACTCTGTCACCCAGACTGGAGAGCAGTGGCGCAATCTCGGCTCACAGGCAATCTCCGTCTCCCAGGCTCAAGCAATTATTTTGCCTCAGCCTCCCAAGTAGCTGGGATTACAGGCATGCGTCACTACCCACCCGGCTAATTTTTTTATTTTTAGTAGAGACAGGGTTTTGCTATGTTGGCCAGGCTGGTCTTGAATTCCTGAGCTCAAATGATCCACTCGCCTCGACCTCCCAAAGTGCTGGAATTACAGGTATAAGCCACTATGCCTGGCTGCAGGTCCCATTTTCAAATGACCCCCTTGCAAGTCCACATCTTTAAGAAACCCCTAACCTGGCCATTGTCTCTTGATAAATTTGAATAAAAAGTACTCTTATGAGCTAAAGCTAAAGAAAATGTTTAGTATTTCCCTTTCTGGAAAAAAAATGTAAATATGAAATTTCTTATATCCTAATCATTAATACTTGCTGAAAACAATGTTTAAACTTTTAAAATATTTCATTTTTCCAAAATGTGATTAAAAACTAAAATTCAGTTTGTATGTATGCATATGTTTATCACTGCCTGAAGTAATCTACGTAGAATAACAGAGTAGACAAGGATGAAAAGTCTAGAATTAGTGTACCTGAATCGAATCTTGGCTCAATCGCTTAATAGTTGTGTGAACTTTGTGAACACGTGTGTGCTGTCTCTGGAAGGAATAAATATTTATAGTGTGGGACTGCATCTGTTCATGCAACACGCTGTCTGGCACAGGTTTCTGTCTCTGATGGAAACCATATGGTGGAGAGATACAAGCAAAGTTACAGAAGCGCCTTCCATTACTGAAGAAGGTGCTACACGGTCACAGAGATAGTTATTAAGGCATAGAGACTGTGTTTGAATGCAGTTTCTACTACTGACTAGATGGTGTCGGTGTGACCTAATTCTGCTTACTAAGTCAGTTGAAATACAAACATTTAGAGTGTTTAAATCGAAGAGAGTAAAAATTAAACTAGGCCCAAGATAAACCTCAAAGCACTACATTATGTCTTTGCAGATTGACATGTTTTCACATAGATAATCCCAACATAATTAAAAAATATTAATATTTCTGAAATTCACACCAAAAGAGAGTTTGAATACAGGATGATTAATTGAATTTCCTCCAACAAAATCATCTTTATATTATAAATAATATAATACAATATATAGAGAAAAACTGAATACAACTTCGTTATTTTAGTATGTTACTTTGAAGCACAGATTTAAAGCATCAAGTCATAACTAAAGTGCCAAGACATGCAATTCAAGCCTTAAGTGGAGCCTGAGAGAAGAAAAATGCCCATAGCAAAAACAGGAATCTGTCACAAACTAAACAGCCAGAGAGACTAGATATCCAAAATACTTAGTTGTCCTGAATCCAATTTGAAGTTGTTTTATGAACTCATTCTACCCTAGACCTTGGCTTGCATATCTACTTAGGGAAGGAGAGGGGGCCATGAGGTGGAACTCCCAGTCCACTTCATGAGGAACCCCTTGGACGCAGGGCTTCTCTGCACAGGCTGAATTCTGACCCTAGAAAGGGAAGGCAATATCATAGAGCAATATCAGCAGCCCAAAGAGTGTATCACAGGGCATGGCAAAGCCACAGAAAGTGGCCTTGATTATTTGTGACACCAATGGCCCTGGCTCCCACTTGGGCTCACACCTTGAAGCACAAAACGTGCTATTTAGAAAGTGTTAGAGGAGAAGCATGGTAGGCAGTGGTTATTTTATCAATGGAGGTTAGCGATCATGTGTTAAAATGACTTTATCTAGATACAAGAAGAACTTCATGGATATGCCTATCTGTCTGCCTATCTATATCTATCTATCTAGCTAGCTATCAATCTATCTTCTATCAATCATCTATCTATCATGTATTTATCATCACTACATGTATACACACATATACTAGTGCATACAGACAGGCAGATTGATTGAACGCTAAAGGCTGTATCTATAAAACTTACAGTAAGTAGATTTAGAAAAAATAAAATAGATTCTTCATATTTTCCCAGAAGGTAACACATAGAGAAGTTTGATTTTCTTAATAAGTTTATCCTTAAATCCCTAATAGTAAATGTTATATCATCATTACTAAAATGGCATGTACATAATGGGAGCCGAAGGATTATAAATGACAGTGAATTATTTTAATTGGATGTTTTCTCAGTTGCAGAAGACTTTGAGAGTTTACAATGTAAAGAAATAGATGATGAATTGCCTTCAGGCAAGAAAGAGCTTCATTCTTGATTCTGTATGTTTTCGTCCTAAGGGCTGTTGCCTTCAGGACAGGGTTTACATCATTACTCCTAGGGATCTAGCATCTTCCCTCAACGTGAAGTCAGTATCCGCTTCTATTTTCTGGCTGACTCTGTTGCTTAAAGCAGCAGGAATAGTGTTCAATGATACGTTTTAAAGATGTAATTCTTGAACTACTACAAAATAGCCACAGAGTAAATCTATATGAGGTTATGTTTACTTTTTTAGTAATTTTTCAATAAAATCATGACAGATAACTTAAGTCACTGCTAAAATACCAGACACATTTGAAAAAGTTGATTATTTTTACCCTGTTTCAAAAAAGGGCACAGAATTTCAGCATGATTATTTATAGTAATATAATAAGTAGTTTTTCCACATAACTGAATTATCTAGGCAACTGAAACTCAACATTTAAATGTAAATTCTTACTCTAAGTATTTATATAAGAGTTGTTTTAAAACATTTTCTTAAAATGCATGGTTCCTATTTCACCTTTTTATTTTGATAATTCAATACAATTGTATTATCAGGTTATTATATAGGACTGTTATTCATTAAAAATTTTATTCCATTGACATACTTAAGGCTGCTTACCCTAACTAAATGTACATATTTCCTGTGTTTGTTTTGTTTGTTTTTATCTCTCTCTTCCTTCTGTTGGAATCTTAGGCCAGAAAATTTTCTGTGGTGGCTGCCACATATAATCCTAAGAGCCAATTTTTAGGCATTGATTGAAATGGTCTGTAATTTAGAATGACATACACTTGACCCTTGAATAACGTGGGTGTGAACCACGAGTCCACTTACACACAAATTTTTTTTTCAATAAATATATTGGAAAATTTTTGGACATTTATAACAACTTAAAACTTGCAGACAAACCACAAAACCCGGCAATATAAAAAAATTCAGAAAAAGTTACGTATGTCATTAATGCATAACATGTATGTTGATAATAGTCTATTTTATCATTTACTACCATAAAATATGTACACAATTATTGCTAAAAGTTAAAATTTATAATAAATTACACACAGACACTTAAAGACCATATGTGGGGTCATTCACAGTAAAGAGAAATGTAAGCAAACCATAAAGATGAAGTATTAAATCATAACTATAAAATTAACTGTAGTGCATACTGTACTACTGTAATAATTTCATAGCCACCTTCTGTTGCTATCTGATGAGCTCAAGTGTTGCAAGTATCTGCTTAAAATGCCATGTGATACTCATTATCTCTGCGTGAGCAGTTTGTCTCTCCATTAAATTGCATATCACGGTAAAAAGCGACCTGTCGTAGTTCTGTGTATCTTTCATCATATTAATGAAATTATTATAAACTTTGAATAACACCATGGAACCCATATAAAGTGCCACTGGAGATTCTGGAAATGCTCCTAAGAAGCAGAGAAAAGTCATGACATTACAAGAAAGAGTTGAATTGCTTAATATGTACTATAGATTGAGGTCTGAAGCTGCAGTTGCTTGTCATTTCAAGAGGAATCAATTCAGCAAAAGAAGCATTGTAAGAAAAAAAAATGAAATTTATGAGGCTGTTGCTGCCATCATTATGCTAGTAGCTGTGAAAACCATGCACTTTTTGCAAAATACCTTTATTCTTTGAGACAGTCTTGCTTTGTCCTTCAGGCTGGAGTGCGTGGCACAATCGTGGCCCACTGCATCCTTGACCTCCTAGGCTCAAGCACCCCTCCCTGCAGCCTTGACTTCCTAGGCTCAGGCAACATTCCCATCTCAGCCTCCTGAGTAGCTAGGACTACAGGTGACCGGCTAATTTTTAAAAAACTTTTGTAGATCTGGAGGTCTCGCTATGTTGTCCAGGCTGGCAAAATATCTTTTTATATTGCAATGAAAAGTTAGCTTGTATGTGGGTGTAGGAGTGCTATAAGAAAGGCATACCTATAGACACTAACATGATTTAAAAAAAGCAAAGTAATTATATGACAACTTAAAAAAAATAAAAAGTAAAAGATCTAAAGCTAGGGAATTTAATGCCAGCAAAGGATGGTTTGATAATTCTAGAAAAAGTTTTGGCTTTAAAAATGTCCAGATAATAGGAGAAGCGGTTCTGCTAAGCAAGAGGCAGCAGACAGTCCCCAGTTGTCATTAGAAACCTCACTGAAGGCCGGGCATGGTGGCTCACGCCTGTAATCCCAGCACTTTGGGAGGCCAAGGCCGGTAGATCACAAGGTCAGGATTTCCAGACCAGCCTGGTTAAGATGGTGAAACCCCATCTCTACTAACAATATAGAAGTTAGCCGGGCATGCTGGTGGGCACTTGTAATCCCAGCTACTCGGGAGGCTGTGGCAGAGAATTGCTTGAACCCATGAGGCAGCGGTTGCAGTGAGCTGAGATCACGCCACTGCACTCTAGCCTGGATGACAGAGCGAGACTCCATCTCAAAAAAAAAAAAAAAAAGAAACTCATTGAGGAGAAAGCATATGTACCTAAACAGATTTTTAATGCAGATTAATGTGCCTATTCGGGAAAAATAATTGCACAAGGGATATTTATTAGTAAGGAAGAGAAGCTAGCCCCAGGGTTTAAGCCAGGAAAGGAAAGGCTAACTCTTCTGTTTCATGTAAATGCAATAGGGTTTATCATTAGGACTGACCTTAACTATAAAGCTGCTAACACCTGAGCCTTGAAAGCAAAAGATAAACACCAGTTGCCAGTCTTTTGATTGTACAAAAAGAAGACCTGGACAATGAGAACCTAGTCTCTGAATTAGTTCCTTCAATGTTTTGTCCCTAGAGATGGGAAGTACCTTGTCAGTAAGAGACTGCCTTTTAAAGTACTTTTGATTTTGGACAGTGCCCGTGGACATCAAGAACCCCACGAGTTCAATGCCGAAGGTGTCAAAGTGGTCTGTGTTGCTCCCAAAAATGACTTCTCTAATTCAGCCTCTAGATCAGGGGCTCATAAGGACCTTTAAGGCTCATTACAAATGGTACTTTCTGGAAAGGACCATCAGTACTATGGAAGAGAACCTCAATAGAGAGAGCTTCATGAATGTCTGATAGGATTACATCATTAAAAATGTTATTGCTGTTATATAAAAAGCTGTAAAAGCAAATCAAACCTGAAAGAATAAATTCTTGCTGGAAGAAACTGCTCAGTTGTTGTTCATGCCTGTAGAATTTGCAACAGAGTAAATCAAGAAAATCATGAAAGCAACTATGTATGTGACAAAAAAAAAAAAAAAAAAAAAAAAAAAAAAAGGTGCAGAGTAAAGAGTTTTAAGACATAGATCTTGGAGAAACCTAAGAGCTAATAGACACCACACCAGAAGAATTAACAGAAGATGTCTTGATGGAGATGAGTGCTTCTGAACCAGTGCCAGAGAGTAAGGAAGGAGATGTAAAAGCAGTGCCAGAAAACAAATCGACATTAAACAACTTGGAAGAAGGATTCTGATTATCCAAGACTGCTTTTGACTTCTTTTACAATCTGGACTCTTCTATGATACAGGTAGTGAAACCAAAGTAAATGGTGGAAGGATTGGTACAGGATTCTCTTTAGAGAAATGAGAAAGCAAAGAATTCAGAAAGAAATTATGATGTATTTCTGCCTTTTCCGCCTCTCCTGCCTCTCCTTCCACCTCTTTCACCTCTTCTGCCTCTGCTACTCCTGAGACAGCAAGATCAGCACCTCTTCTTCCTCGCCCTCAGCCAACATGTGACAATGATAAGGATGAAGGTCTTTATCATGATCCACTTCCACTTAATAAATAGTAAACATATTTTCTCTTATAATTTTTAATAACTTTTTCCTAGATACTTTATTCTAAAAATATAGTATATAATACATATAACATATAAATATGTGTTAATAGACCGTTTATGCTATTAGTATGGCTTCTGGTCAACAATAAGCTATTAGCAGTTAAGTTTTCAGAGAGTCAAAAGTTACACACACATTTTCAACTGCAGGAAGACTCACTCCCCTATCCCCCACAGGGTCAACTATATATTTTGAACCCATTTTGTCAGATACATATTTTGCAAGGATTTTCTTGCAGCATTTGGCTTATCTTTTTAATCCTCTTAACAGTATCTTTTGCAGAACAGAGATTTTAATCTAATGAAGTCCAATTTATTGATTTTTTCTTTCATGGATCATGCTTTTGATGTTGTATCTAAAAAGTCATCACCAATCCCAAGGTCTCCTAGATTTTCTCCTATGTTATCCTCTGTGTTTTATAGAACTGGATTTTACATTTAGGTTTATGATACATTTTGTTTTAATTTTTGTGAAAGATGTAAGGTCTGTGTCTAGATTTTTTTTTTCTATATGTGGATGTTCAGTTGTTCGAGTACCATCTTTTGAAAAGACTAGTGAATTGCCTTTGCTCCTCTGTCAAAGATCAGTTGACTATATTTGTGTGGGTCTATTTCCAGGTTCTCTATCAGTTTCATTGATCTACACATCTCTCCTTTTGCCAGTATTATACTATCTTGATTATTTGAGCTTTATTTTAAGTCTTAATGCTTAATAGTAGCAGTTGTCAGACTTTCTTCTTCTCTTGCAATTTGGTGTTGACTTGTCTGGGTATTTTGCCTCTTTATACAAACCTTAGAATCAGTTTGTTGATATTGATAAAATAATGTGTTTAGATGTTATTGAGATTGTTTCTATCTATAGATCAATTTGGGAAAAACAGACAAGTTAATACAAATTGATGTGGTGATTTGAATTTAGTCCCCTAAAAGATTTATGTCCTATATTCTCTTTGATGAATAATGTATAAAGGAATTATAGTCTTTATTCAGGAAGGATTTTTAAACATGGTTTCTTAGGCTATATTTTTTAAAACAATTTTAAATTTGCAGCAAAAGAAATGGAAAATAGTAAGAGAAGTTCCCCTGTGCCCTATAACCAGTTTCCCCTATTATTAACAACTTAACATTTGTATTATACATGTTATAATCAACAAAGCAATATTAATTATTATTATTAACTGAAGTTCAAATTTACTTAGATTTCCTTGGCTTTTATATAATGTCCTTTTTCTGCTCCAGGATACCACATTAAGTTTAGTTGTCAAGTTTGTTTATACTTCTCTTGGTTGTAGCAGGTTTAATTTTTCATGGTTGTTGATGGCCTCAACAATTTGAAGAGTATGATCAGGTGTTTGGCAGACTGTCCCACTATTAATGTTTACAATTTTTTTTCATGATAAGACAGGGACTATGGGTCATTGACAGGAAAGACTACAGATATGAAGGGCAATTTTTATCACATCATATCATGTTTACATACTTTAAACATAATTAATGATTTTTATGTTGACCTTGATTACCTGGCTGAGGTAGTGCTTGTCAGGTTTTTCTAATGTAAAGTTACTCTCTTCCAAACCCCATTTCCCCACCATCCTTTCTCATAGGGTACTCTTTGGAAGAAAGTCACAATGCACAGCCCACACCAACATAGTGGGGTGGTCAGGGCATTTCTCATGATTACTTTTCCTGACATTTTTAAAAAAACCCATTTACCAGACCAGTGAATCTCAAATATTTGTCAAATGACAAATGCATAATGTTACAAGATTACAATCATTGATCATGTTAAAGGTCCATTCTAAGTTGAAGTGAAATAAATTTAATGTAACAGAGTACGAAACATTTCTTCATAAGGTTTCAGATTTCACATTGCAACTAATCTTTAATAAACAACTACTAGGCTTGGGACAGTGGCTCATGCCTGTAACCCCAGTACTCCGGGAGGCTGAGGCAAGAGGATTGCTTGAGTCCAGGAGTTCAAGCCCAGCCTGGGTAAGATAGTGACACTCCATCTCCATTAAAAAAAAAAAAAAAGGAAAAAGGAAAAAGAAAAAGAAAAGAAAAATTAGCCAGGTGTGGTGGTGCATGCCTGTAGTCCTAGCTACTCAGGAGGCTGAGATGGGATGATTTCTTGAGCCTGGGAGGTCAAGGCTGCAGTAAGCCATGATCATGCCACTGTACTCCAGCCTGGAGTCTCACAACGGAGCAAGACTCTGTCTCAAAAAACAAAACAAAACAAAACAAACAAAAAAACAACTACTCGTTGAGTTTGTGCATAACATCAAAGGAGTATATCCACAATGATTTGAAAAGACTATTTTCCTACTACATAACTCTGTGAGGCTAGATTATTACACATTTCGAACAAAACAATTCATCTGAAGATATTGAGTGCAGAAGTGGATATGCAAATACAGCTTTCTTCCTTTTAGACAGATAAGGATATTTGTAAAATTGCAAAACAATACTACTCTTCTCAGTGTTTTGAAAAATATTATTTTCACAAAAATGCATTATTTGGGTTAATATGCAATAGATTTTCATTTAAAAATTAATAATGTATTTTTTTATTTCACAACTTTAATGTCATAGGATACAAAATAGTATATCAATAGATATAAGCCATATTAATGAAAGCACTTTTGGATTATTAATTATTATTAGAGACCAAAATCTGAGGAAACTGCACTAAACCAAACCGCTTTGACTGAAGTCTAGGGAAGGTTTGAATCTCTGAGATTTCTTCATAACCTTCAAAAAACTACTGCTTAATTTCCCCCTTGAGCATGTACCGATAAGCTCTCCCTTTCACCCTTGGTAAAAGGAGACCTGTACACACCTTAAATTTTACCTCCCAATCCTTCTAGTTAGTTGCTAAAGTGAATCCTTGGAGTCTCCACCTTCTCTTGCTCACTTCTATCTGCTTTATTCTGCTTGCCTGCAGCATGTTAAATTATTTAGTGATTGTTGTTGTTGTTTAAGCCAAGTATATAATTAGCTTTAACTACTTTCCTGAGATCCTGCTTAAGACAATACATAAGCGAGATCTCACACTATCTACTTCCTCCTATAGACTGCTAAGTCCTCTTATCTCCAAACGTCTACTTCTTGTTTGGTTTTTCACTTGATTTCACCTAATTCTTATTTTCAATCTGTTCTAAATATCTCCAGACGAAGCTGCATTTTGAAAATAGATTAAAACACAATTCTGATCATGTCCCAGTCATGATTAAAGCCCATGAGGAAAGCTTCAAAATACAGTTCAAGCTTTTAGTTCACACTAAAAAGGTTCTTTGTGTTTTGGTCACTGCCAGCATTTTTCAGCCGTGTTTCTCACTAGAAAGTCATATACATTGTAGTTTATGGCTATTCTCACCTATTTAGAGTTGCTGAAATATGCCAAGATTTCTCTTGCCTCTGAGCTTTATTGTCTGACATACTCTTTTTTTGACCAGCCCCTTCTTCATTTCATAGGTAATGCTACACTAATTAGTCAAATATCACCTCCATTTGGAAACATTTTTCAATCCTCCTTCTTATCTCAGCCTGAATTAGATGTCTCTCTCAGAAATCTCGTTAGATCTTCTAAGTTGCTCTATTTTATTAAGGGAGGAGACCACCCCTCATATTGTCTTATGCCCAATTTCTGCCTCCAAAGAAAGAAGAAATAAAAACTAAAAGGCAGAAATGAAATCCATAGGCAGACAGCCCGGTGCCACACCCTGGGCCTGGTAGTTAAAGATCGACCCCTGACCTAATCGGTTATGTTATCTATAGATTACAGACATTGTATAGAAAAGCACTGTGAAAATCCCTGTCCTGTTCTGTTCCATTCTAATTACCAGTGCATGTAGCCCCCAGTCACGTACCCCCTGCTTGCTCAATCGATCACGACCCTCTCACGCAGAGCCCCTTCGAGTTGTCAGCCCTTAAAAGGGACAGGAATTGCTCACTCGGGGAGCTCGGTTGTTGGAGACATGAGGCTTGCTGAAGCTCCCAACTGAATAAAGCCCTTCCTTCTTTAACTCGGTGTCTGAGGGGTTTTGTCTGCGGCTTGTCCTGCTACATTATCATTTATTACACTTTTAAAAACAATTATTGATCTTATGTAAACCATATACTAGACTCTTACCCTTGAGAAGGGAGATTGTGCCTGTTCATCTCTGAAGTTCATATTTGGTTCAGCACATTCTGGCACGTTTCAGGTACCAGATTAATATTAATTGAATATAAAAAATTAAGACTTTTTAATAATATTTAAAAAGTGAAAACTAGCTACAAATATTGGCTGATTGCAAAAATTGATTTCATTGTGACTCAATTAAAAAATTGTACTACACAGCAACATGTGCCTTTCTAAATTTGTTTTGCATAACGAAATATGAATTTCAATATGATTAAAAATATGTCATTTGCTAAATACATATAATTATATTAGATGAATTAATTGCTTGGTACTTGATTCAACAGTTTTGAAGTGCTTGTTGACCTTTCCAATAATATTTGTGATATCAATTATTAACAAGAAATTTTATATCCTTCCCTTATATATTTCTTTAATTAACTCCTTGACTCATTGTACAAGTTTTTATGAAATTAAAAATATATATCTAACTAGACTGTACAAAGAACTTTCAAGAGTGGTTTGCTGTGAGGCATAAACTAAAAGAGAGTAACGAATTAAATGTGGGGATTTTCCTCTAACTATGAATCCTGTGATCCAAAGTTCTTTAGAAAGAAATCTACTAAATCTATAGTTTCCTAGATATAAAAGTAAATTCTTTGAATAAATCCATATCTTGCTTTCTTCTCAAGATGTTGCTGTCATTGGAAGTGAATCAAATTATATTTATCTATAAGATGTTTTACAAACTAGTATATGATATTCAAATGACTACCAAACAGGAAAAAACAGAATTCTTTTTATAATGCCTTGAACCTTGAAATTACAAAAAAAAAAAACTTTAATTTTTTATTTCATTTTTTTTTAAAAAATTATAATTATATGTGTTTATTTTTTAATCTTAAGAACTCAATGCACTTCAGTATTGGCCCCTCTTTTTTCTTCTGTTGTGTTTTAATAAGTTTTATTGTGTATACTTGAGGTTTACAACATCTTGTTATGTAACACATATAGATAGTAAAATGGTTACTATAAAGAAACAGAACATATCTATCATTTCACATAGTGACTTTTTACGATTAAAATTTCTATATGTAAAAAAATTACAGGCCGGGTGTGGTGGTTCAAGCCTGTAATCCCAGCACTTTGGAAGCCCGAGGTGGGCGGATCACAAGGTCAGGAGATTGAGACCATCCTGGCTAACGTGGTGAAACCCCGTCTCTACTAAAAATACAAAAAATTAGCCGGGCGTGGTGGCAGGTGCCTGTAGTCCCAGCTGCTCGGGAGGCTGAGGCAGGAGAATGGTGTGAACCCAGGAGGCGGAGCTTGCAGTAAGCCGAGATCGCGCCATTGCACACCAGCCTGGGCGACAGAGCAACACTCCATCTCAAAAAAAAAAAAAAAAAAAAATTATAAATTTGCCATATTAGGGGGGTAAAGTTTACCATGTATTTAAATAATATATGAAAATGGATATTTCAATTCTTTGCAAATGTGGCTTGTCTTTAAGATAAATCTTTTCCATGTATGTGGCTTATCTTTAAGATAAATCTTTTCCATGTTATGTCCTAGTCTAGGATCTCATCATGCCATTTTATTGATTGTTATGACAAAAAATATTTTAGGATAATTCATTGATTTTCTTCTTGCATTGTACATGTCCTTTAGACCCTTGTTCCCTGCTCTCTCACCTCTTCACCAACATTAACCAGGTGCCAGTGCGGAGTCCTAATTAGGGAAAAGGAGTCAGGCTGGCGAGACCAGGGGAAAGCAAAGAGATAAAGTAAATAAGCTATAAATATGCCTTTCTTCATGGTTCAAGACATATAAACAAAAAGAGGAAGGAGATGAATTATAGATCTGTTTTTCTTTACAGCCCAGGACATATAACCCTCCGGAACAAATAACGTACATAACTCACAAACTTCCTGCTTATCATCAAATGCCTCAATTTATCAAGCATCCCACTGACAGAAGAATGCAAGTTCCCAAGTCCCTTTCTATAAAATCCTCAGCAAGTCTTTGTCTCCTGGCAGTCAACTTCTCTCATGCTGAACTGCCTGTTGCTTTCTTGTAATGTATTTTCATACTTTCTCTAATAAATCTGCCTTTCTTTACCTACAACTGTCTTGGTAAATTCTTTTACCCCCATGCTGCCAGCCCATATAGTCGTCACTCCCCCACGACAGCCATTCCTACTAATTTATATAGCTTTCCTCGAGGGAGGGATGTGACAACAAAAAGGAGAGAATACAAAAAAGATATTTTTAAATTTTCAAAGCTAGGCCCTCCTGAGGAATGCAAGAATTTAAAATAAAGAAAATAGAATTGGAGGGGAGGGGGAACAAGTTGACAGACAAACAATGCTTCTCATCCATGAGTTTAGAAAAGGGAAAAGGGTTTCCTGAGATGCAGTTAATTTGGGGAAGAACCATGCAAAAGGAAAACAATGAGTGGTGAGTTCCTTTTTCTGAGGCTGAATTCCAGAGGAAGAGCAAAAGCAATCAAAGAAAGATACAGATAGATTAAAGAAATTTAGGAGAAAAGGGGAGTTATTTCATTTATGAGTACTTCCGGCACTTGGCGAGAACTTAAAGGTATAAGAGGGCTGAACCTTAGAAAGACTCCCAAAGCAGCTTGATGTCCAATGGATTCCTTATAAACAAAGGAAAAGTCATGTGCTCCTAGGATTAATGTTATGCAGGAAGAGACTGACAGATGTAAAAAGAACTGTAGATGGGAACTTAGTTAATTTGTATGGAATAACGCTTAAAGTCTAGACTAGATATGCACATGAAGATAACAGCATGGACAGATGTCTCTGAAGACCTTTCATTTTGCCTTATTCCCTTATGGTTTGATATATTGTAAGCCCCTGCTTGAATCTTAATTACAGGCACAGGTAATGGGTGAGAAGGCAAAATTGACTGAATTTATTTATTTATTTATTTACTTTCATGAATAAAAAAATTATAAAAATATAAATTAGTTATCACAGAAAAAATGAATAAAATGATTACATATAAAAGCAGTTACATTCCCAACACTCTTAGTCACTGGATTGAATTCTTATGTACTGTTTCGTGTGATCCTTTTCTTGACATTTCAGTATCATGCCATGCTCTGTTTTTGCCTTTTCTCTCCCATCAGATATATTGCTACCTAATTACCTTATTCCATATTATGACTTCCTTGGCCTTGCACTTTATGCTCCCTGTCTACTGTTGGGTGACCAATCAATTGGCTATGCTCTTAACATTTTATTTGGAACGCTGATTCAGAAAAATCAGTCAATCATATGAAAAACTCAATGACAGTTGGTTCCAGAGTGAACTTGGTACCTATTCTTTCATTTCTATTATTAAGTGGTTGTTTCCAGAAACACAAATACACAGATGCATATATTTAAACTCATACATACAGAACACATTTAACAGATATGGATTTTAGAGATAGAAGTATTATATGATTATAGATATAAATCTAAAAGTACCCCTTTTATTTATACCTTTCTTACCTAGGTTTGCATAGCTTTGTGTGCACTGGCGCATGCCTTTCTTTTAAACCGAAGCAAGTGTGACTCAGTGCTTTCTGGGCCCTGGGCACATTGGCCTTTTAAATTTGTCTCTTACTTCAGAAATACACATTAGTTTCTGCCTTATAGACTTTGCATAAATGTTCTTTCTGCCTGTCTGCGATCTTCAAATAGATGCCTCCTTACTCACACTCAAACCTCAGCAATTATGTTACTTCCTTGGAGATATTGCACTATTTGTGATACATCTCATAGTAATTCTCTGCAAACCCTTTTATTCCTTTCCCCGTCTGACACCTAATTCCATTACCCAGATCAATTGACTTTCATAGCACTTATAAGCTTCCAAAATTTACTTATTACAGAATTATTTCTAGAATGCAGGATCTCCAAGATGAAAATTGTTGTCTGTTCAATTGTTTGATGTTCTTTCCCCAAAGAAAAGATGCTAAATAATTGTTTCTTGAGTGTTGATAAATTATCTTTGCTGCTGTTCTTATTAATCTATTAGTTTATTCATGCATTCCACCAATAGAATTTAGTCTCTAAGAAGATCTGTGTCTCCCACCATAAATTTTAGTGTACAACTTCACTTGCCTTCTTAATCATATAGGTCCAGTATTTATTTTATACCTAGTAAACAGAGTAAGTAGTCAATAAGAATTTGTGAAATGAAGTATTTCATAATTGAAGTGAGCAGCTTTTTTCTTAGTTCACCAACTGAAATTATACTTCTCTTGCTTCAGTCCAAAACAGGACAACCTCATAAATGTGTATCTCAGAAATTAAAGTTCATTTTGTTAGCTGCTTCTTAAATTCATCTATAGACAATTATCGGAGATAAAAAAAAGAAATGATAACACTTAGGGCTGGCAAGGATGTATGAAAATGGGTATTGGTATACACCATTAAGACAATATAACTTGACACAATCTTCATGGAGAACATTTAAAATTGTGCACATAAACTTACAATGACATTGTCCAGGGTATGGCAAGTATTTCAGGTGCCAAAATAGTTTTAAGTATAAAGAACCTTTAAAATTCAAAAGTAAATTAAAACAAAAACAGACAAAAGATCTGAATAAATACCTTACAGAGAAGATATACAGATAGTAACAATTAACATCATATGTCTTTAAGGAATTGTAAATTAAAACGAGACACCACTGCACACTGATTGAATGGCAAAAAACCCAAACACTGAAAAGACCAAATACTGATGGAGATGTGGATAAAGAGGGATCCCCATTCATTGCTGGCTGAAATGCAAAATGGTTTAACCACTTTTAAAGGCAATTTGGTACTTTCTTGCAAAGCGAAATATACTTCAACTGTGTGTATATATATATTAGACACTGTGTGTTAAATATATACATATACATATATATATACACATGTATATATATACATATATATATACACATGTATATATATACTTTTACCATAAGATCCAGCAATGATTGTCCTTGGTATTTACTCAAATGAATTGAAAACTGACATCTACACAGAAACCTCTACACAAGTGTCTATAGAAGCTTTGCTCATAATTGCCAAAGTTTGAAAGCAACTAGAGTATCTGTCAATATGTGAATGGATAAGTAAGTTATCATACATTCATACAATTGCTGAGTTGTTTATTCAGCAATAAAAAGCAATGAGCTACAAAGCCTTGAAAGACATAAAGAAACCTTAAATGTATACTGTTAAGTGAAAGAAACCAAGCTGAAAAGGCTACATAATGTATGATTCCATGCTTCTACATTCTCAAAAAGGTAAAATTATAGAGACAGTAAAAAGTTCAGTGGTTGTCAAGGGCTCAGAGTGAGGGAAAGGGCTATGAATGGATGAAACATGGAATTTTTAGAGCAGCAAAACTATTATGTATGACACCATAATGGTGGATGCATGCCATTATACACTTGACAAGACTCCCAGAACTGTACAATATAAAGAGTAAACCTTAAATGCAAATGACAGATTATAGTTAATAATAAAGTATTAGTCATGATTCATGAATTGTAATAAATATACTACACTAATAATGTTGTTAATAATAGGGGAAACTGTGTGTGCAGGCAGGGTTTGGGGTTAGGCTTAGGGTTTGACTTGAGGTTAGGGAAGTTTGTGTACTTTCCGGTCAATTTTTCTGAAAATCTGAAACTGCTTTAACAATAAAGTATTAATTTAAAAACATTTATAAGCTTGTGTAGAGTCAGCACTCTAAGGAAAAAGTTTAGATGCCCCTTTATTTACAGTTGGCTTTGTTTAGAAATATTTAGTTGGCTTTGATTTTTAGAAATATTTGATTTTGAGAAATATTTGACAGCAGCTACAGAAGAGAAATGATGAACTGAGTTCCTAAGTCCCCTGAAATGCAGAACAAGCCAAAAAAAAAAAAAAAAAAAAAAAACCCCACAGGAAAAAAAATCAAATAAATAAAAGACTAAAGAAGTTAATAACTCAGATCCTTAGATGTTTAATTAAAAAGAGACTTCTTGTCTAATAGCTAAGGACACAAGCATTTCATCCTGTAGTAAACTCGAATGCCACTTTGAATGCAATTATTTCTCATGCATTCACTTATTGATTCATTCTAGAAATATTTATTGAGCACCTACTAAGTGAAAAAGAATATGTTAGACACTGTGTGTTAAATACTAGGTATATTACAGTGAGGTAGGTGGACATAGTCTCTGCCCTCAAAAGGATTATGGTGTAGAACTCAGACAAGTAACTACAAAATTGCTATAATCCTGGCAAAATATTAAGGAAGAGAAATAACAAAATGCTAAGAAGGTGCTAGCAGATAAATAATGGAAGAGAATCAGTTCAGAATTGGGGGAAGAGAGGAAATACACGATGAAGAAGAATAGTAGCTGGCGTTAGCAAAAAGGAAAGCAGAAACATGGAGAAAACATTCTAAACATAGTCAAGGGCTGTTCCCAGAGGCAAGAGAGAGGCTTATTCTAGGAATTTTTTTTTTTTTAAGTGTAGTTGAACCATAGATTTGGGAGTGAAAGAGACAAAGCAGCAAATGCTGCTAATGAAATGAGCAAGTTCAGATTTGCAGAAATAACTCTCCCATTGCAGCATGTTAACTGGATTGTGTAAGGGGAAGATCAGTGAAGAGGTCATGGCAGCGATTTATTCGGGAGATAACAACAGCATGAAATATGGTAGAAGTGGTGGTGATGGAAAGTAGTATACTAATTTCACAAATGTTTAGGAGGTATATGATCTATAACTCAGTAAATGATTGGATTGGGCAGTTAGAAAAATGAACGTATTGAGAAGTGCTCCAAGTTTCCTCCAGGGGCAACTGAGTAGACGGCAGTGTCCTTCACTGTTATGGAATTCATGAATTATGCAGGTGGAAGATAAAAAAAAAATTGGATGTCCCAGAACTTTATAGCTAAGACTGAGAATTCTAAAAAATACAGATTTTGGAGTTTTCGAATGGCAAATAAAGTCATAGAAATGGATGAAACTTTAAGATCTCCTTATGAGATAAGGTAAGTAGTCTAAGAATTGAAGAAAAAGAAAAAACTTCCAGTGATTTCAGAATTTTGAAACAGAAAGAGGAAGAAATTCATTACAGGAAACTGAAAAGGCCTAACCTAAGCAAAAAGAAAAATTCTCAATAATGAGGAAACTAGGAAGCCAAAGGAGGAAGATGGTTTCAAGAAGGAAAAAATAGTTTTCAGATGGAATTGTTACAGAGAGATAGAAAATATTGTCTTTACCAACTAGGAAGTGGTATTAGTTTCTTTACTGTTGTTATACATTACCACAAACTTCATAGCTTAAAACAATACAAATTTATCATTTTACATTCCCAGAGTTCAAAAGTCTAAAACAGGATATATTGGGTTAAAATTAACAAGTTAGCATAGCTGTGTTCCTTCTGGATACTCTAAGGGAGATTTAATTTCTTTTTTTTTTTTTTTTTCGGCTTCTAAAGGCTACCTGCGTTCCTTGGCTTATAGCCACATCACTCTGACTTCTGTCTCCCTCCTCACACCTCCTTCTCTGACTCTGCCCTTTGTGATTTGAGCCCACTGTATTAGCCAGGATAATTCCTTCATCTCCAATTTCTTAACTAAGTTACATAAGCAAATTTCCTTTTGTAAGGTGACATTGTCATAAGTTCTAGGAATTAAGGATGAGGATGTGAACATCTTTAGGGGACCATTATACTACCTACCACATAGGTTCCTAGAAACCACAACAAGATCAGTTTCATTGGAGTGGCTGAGGAAAAAACTAGATCGTAATAGGTAAGCATGTAAGTGAAACATGAGTAGGTAGAAATATGAACAAGTCTTGAAGAAATTTAGCTTTGAAAAGAAAGAAAAAGAAAATGGCTAGGGAGAGTAGAAATTGGAGACATCTGAAGATGTTATAAGACTAATTTCAGGCAGCCAAAAAGTAAGAATAGTTGAAGATACACGGGAAAGGACGATTGGCTACAAAGAGGTAAATGTGGATGGAATCAGTACAAGGTTGAAGGACTAGCTTTAGAAAAAAGAAGAAATTTATTTTATTATAACAGTATAGATTATGATGCAGATGTGTGTTTAGTCAGGAAAATTCTAAGGTTTGTGGCTGGAATTGATGTTGCCCTTAAAAGATGACTTCTATCTTTTTTCTCTTAAAATACGAAGTAAAGTCATCCACTGAGAATAAGGTAGAGGTGATTGCTGGGCATATGGTACAAGTAAAAAGATTTTGAAAAAGCTTCTATAGAGACAGAGATATTGCTAATTAGGAAAATAATAAGATTACTTGGCATTGTTGAGGGTCCAATAAGGTCAAAGAATAAGTATATTGTGACATAAATATGGGACTGTGTATTTATCACTTAGGAATTTTGTATAGGCTTAGAGGCTGTTGACAGTGAAGTTGAACTAGTGCTAGAGATTTCCCAGACAGTAACGATGGAAAGATAGTGGAGCTAGAAAACAGAATAGTTACAAGAGTGTCATTGAACTGATGGACCATATAATTTAATCTACATCAAAAAATAAAATAAAATTGAATAAGATAATTAGAAAGGAGATTGGACAGAAGACTGAATATTACTTTGAATTCAAAGAACAGGTAAATGAGTGAAAAACAGAACAGAAAATCTGTTGTGAGGCATTTGCATAAAATGGTTCATAAGGGGATCAGTTCTAGGTGATACAATCCCAATCAAGTGGCTATGGCATGTGTGGCTGAAGTGAATTGTAAGTAGAACTTTATTAAAAATAAGAACATCAGGAAATCAAGAGGCAAAATTCTTTTGGTTTTTCATCTGAGCATTGTAGGCATCAAAATAATAGGATATCTAGTAGTGAGAAAATGAATAATCAATTTGGCAGGATATTTGATAAATAAGGGGATGGGTAGATTGTCTGTAAATGATAGCAATTGTTACCAATTGCCAGGCATTCAGTCTAGGTACCATTGCTCACCACACAGAAAGCTAATCACCAAGATGAGGAATGCCAAGGAAGAAAGGCGTTATTCAGGTAATGCCAGCTGGAAGATGGGAGATAAGTCTCAAGTTCATCTCCCAACCAACTAAAACTGGAGATTTGTATAGCGAGGAAGGAACATAACTACGTGTGGGAAAACAGGAATTAGAGAGGATTAAGGAAGCAATCATGATGGATGAGGATGTCATTGTTGGGATATAGTGATCTGGTGAGTTTCAGTTCTTTGATGCTATTTGAGGGGGCTGAAAGTTTCCTGAGAAAGGAACTCAGGTAAGAC